>NC_000003.12:173251028-173402543 GCF_000001405.40 Homo sapiens
CCTGGTCCTTTTCAGAAAAATAATTACCTAAATAAGAATAATAGCAGGCCAAAATAATTATTTATTTTATGCAATACAAAGTTTGTTATGTTTTATTTCACATAGGATTGAATTTTCTTCTGGGATTACTATGTTTATTAAATAGAAAAATCTTGCAGAAGAGTCCAAATCAGATTCCTATATAAAAAATATTGACGATTTTTAACTACCTCTTTGGAAATACATGTACTTTTTATTCCCAAGTCAATCAAACATCTGAAATCATATAAAGATTTAATCACCTACATCTCCATGGGGCTATTGAATTTAGTTGGTGTTTTTGAAATCACCTTTTCCCCCTTGATTGCAATAATTTGCAAAGCAATTGCCTATTTATAAATTCTATTATATACATTGCTTATTTATTTTTTATTCTTTCTACAAAGGCCAGAGCAAACCGAATAAGATAGTTATCTTCTTCATTATTTTAATATCTCTATACCTGAGAGAGGAGGCTGGATGTTGGCAGGAATGGCCTTTGGACAATGGCCAATTTAATCTGGTCCTCTCTGGACTTGTTAACAATTACAAGACCCACTAGGATATCACTAATGTTGTGGAAATATTTGTGTAGTTAATTTCATAATTTTTATTATTTTTTGAGTAATTTGTTGCCTCTGAAACAAACTATTCTAAATGGTGTTTCACAAACTTCAGTTGTTTATGAATTATGTTTATGGTTTTTGCAAAATTCTGAAGACCATCATATCTTTATTTTTTTAAACCCAATTCACATTTTTACTTAAATATTATTTAAGAAATATTTTTCTTATTACCAAAATGTGAAAACATCCTTTTTAAAAATATCTTCTTTCATAAACAGACTGTAATCACAAATTCAATATAAGCAAATAAAAATCATTAAATCATAACTAGGTATTTGTATTAGTACATTCTTGCATTGCTGAAAAGAAATACCTGAGACTGGATAAATTACAAAGAAAAGAACTTTAATTGGCTAATGGTTCTGCAGGTTGTACAGGAAGCACAGCAGCATCTGCTTCTAGGGAGACCTCAGGAAGCAGAAGCAGAATCATAGCAGAAAGGAACAGGGGAGCAGGCACATTACCTGGCAAAAGCAGGAGCAAAGAGTGGGGGACAGTGCCACACAGTTTTATACCAACAGATCTCATGATAACCCACTCACTACTATGAGGACAGCACCAAGGGATGGTGTTAAACCATTCATGAGAAATCCCCCCCCATGATCCAATCACCCCCTACCAAGCCCCCCGTCAAACATTAGGGATTACATTTCAACATGAGATTTGGGTGGGAACACACATCTAAACATATAATTCCATCCCTGGCCCCTCCCGAATCTAATGTTCTTCTCATATTTCAAAATACAATCATGCTTTCCAGTAATCCCCCCAAATCTTAATTCATTCCAGTGTTAACTCAAAAACCCAAAGTCCAGTCTTAGCCAAGACAAGGCAAATTCCTTCTTCCTATGAGCCTGTAAAATAAGAAACAAGTTAGTTACTTCTAAGATACAATGAGAGTACAAACAGGTAAACATTCCCATTCCAAAAGGAAGAAATTGAGCAAAAAAGGGGCTACAGGAACATGCAAGTTCAAAATCCAGCAGAGCAGTCATTAAATCTTAAGGCCCCCAAATAATCTCATTTGACTCCATGTACCACATCCAGGCCACACTGATGCAAGGGGTGGGCTCCCAAGGCCTTGGGCATCTCTGCTTCTGTGGCGTTGCAGGGTTCAATCCCTGCAGCTGCTCTCATGAACTGGCATTGAGTGCCTGCAGCTTTTCCAGGAACAGGGTACAAGCTGCTGGTGGAGCCACCATTCTGGGGTCTTGTGGATGGTGGCCCTCTTTTCACAACTCCACCAGGAAGTAACACACTGGGGACTTTGTGTGGGAGCTCCAACCCCACATTTCCTGTCTCCACACTGCCCTAGTAGAGGTTCTCCATGAGGGTTCTGCCCCTGCAGCAGGCTTCTGCCTGGACATCCAGGCTTTTCTATATATCCTCTGAAATGTAGGCAGAGGCTCCCAAGCCTCAACCCCTGTGTACTCTGTGCACCCACAGACTTAACACCATGAGGAGACCACCAAGGCTTACAGCTTGTACCCTCTGAAGCAGCTGTCCAAGCTGTACATGAGCCTTTTTTTTTTTTTTTTTTATGAGGTGGAGTCTTGCTCTGTCACCCAGGCTGGAGCGCAGTGGTGCGATCTCAGCTCACTGCAAGCTCCACTTCCCAGGTTCACGCCATTCTCCTGCCTCAGCCTCCTGAGTAGGGGACTACATGTGCCCACCGCCATGCCCGGCTAATGTTTTTTGCATTTTTAGTAGAGACAGGGTTTCACCATGTTAGCCAGGATGGTCTCAATCTCCTGACCTTGTGATCCGTCTGCCTCGGCCTCCCAAAGTGCTGGGATTACAGGTGTGAGCCACTGCACCCAGCCACATGAGCCATTTTAAGAAGTGACTAGAGCTAGAGTGACCAGGATATGTGGAGAAGTGTCCTAAGGCTGTGTGGGGCAGCAGATCCCTGGGCCTGGCTCATGAAACCATCCTTTCCTCTTAGGGCCCTGGGTCTGTAATGGGAGGGGCTGCCTTGAAGTTCTCCAAAATGCCCTTGAAGCCTTCCCTGCCTCTCCCATTGTCTTAGCTATCAGCGCTTGGCTTCTTTTTAGTTATGCAAATATCTCTAGCAAGTGGTTGCTCCACAGCCTACTTGAATTCCCCTCCCAAAAAAGCTTTTTCTTTCTCTCCCACATGGTCAGGTTGCAAATTTTCCAAACCTTTATGCTCTGCAACCCTTTTATTTATTTATTTATTTTATCCTTTTTTTAAAAAAATTATTATACTTTAAGTTTTAGGGTACATGTGCACAATGTGCAGGTTAGTTACATATGTATACATGTGCCATGCTGGTGTGCTGCACCCAGTAACTCGTCATTTAGCATTAGGTATATCTCCTAATGCTATCCCTCCCCGCTCCCCCCACCCCACAACAGTCCCCAGAGTGTGATGTTCCCCTTCCTGTGTCCATGTGTTCTCATTGTTCAATTCCCATCTATGAGTGAGAACATGCGGTGTTTGGTTTTTTGTCCTTGTGATAGTTTACTGAGAATGATGATTTCCAATTTCATCCATGTCCCTACAAAGGACATGAACTCATCATTTTTTATGTCTGCATCGTATTCCATGGTGTATATGTGCCACATTTTCTTAATCCAGTCTATCATTGTTGGACATTTGGATTGGTTCCAAGTCTTTGCTATTGTGAATAGTGCCGTAATAAACATACATGTGCATGTGTCTTTATAGCAGCATGATTTATAGTCCTTTGGGTATATACCCAGTAATGGGATGGCTGGGTCAAATGGTATTTCTAGTTCTAGATCCCCGAGGAATCGCCACACTGACTTCCACAATGGTTGAAGTAGTTTACAGTCCCACCAACAGTGTAAAAGTGTTCCTATTTCTCCACATCCTCTCCAGCACCTGTTGTTTCCTGACTTTTTAATGATTGCCATTCTAACTGGTGTGAGATGGTATCTCATTGTGGTTTTGATTTGCATTTCTCTGATGGCAAGTGATGATGAGCATTTTTTCATGTGTCTTTTGGCTGCATAAATGTCTTCTTTTGAGAAGTGTCCGTTCATATCCTTTGCCCACTTTTTGATGGGGTTGTTTGTTTTTTTCTTGTAAATTTGTTTGAGTTCATTGTAGATTCTGGATATTAGCCCTTTGTCAGATGAGTAGGTTGCGAAAATTTTCTCCCATTTTGTAGGTTGCCTGTTCACTCTGATGGTAGTTTCTTTTGCTGTGCAGAAGCTCTTTAGTTGAATTAGATCCCATTTGTCAATTTTGGCTTTTGTTGCCATTGCTTTTGGTGTTTTAGACATGAAGTCCTTGCCCATGCCTATGTCCTGAATAGTAATGTCTAGGTTTTCTTCTAGGGTTTTTATGGTTTTAGGTCTAACGTTTAAGTCTTTAATCCATCTTGAATTAATTTTTGTATAAGGTGTAAGTTCCACCTTTAAGTAATTTATTTGCTCCTGCATATGAGTGTAGGATGTTAGAAGCATCCAGGCCCATCTTGAACACTTTGCTGCTTAGAAATTTCTTCTGCCGGATACCTTAGGTCATCACTCTCAAGTTCAAACTTCCACAGATCCCTAGGGCATGGACACAACGTAGTCAAGTTCTTTTCTAATGCGTAACAAAAGTGACCTTTGCTATAGTTCCCAATACATTCCTCATCTCTATCTGAGACACCGTCAGCATTGCCTTCACTGTCCATATCACTATCAGCATTTGGTCACAACCATTCAACCAGTCTCAAAGAAATTCCAAACTTTCCTAATCTTCTGTGTTTTCTTCTGAGACCTCCAAACTCTTCCAACCTCTGCCCATTACCCAGTTCTAAAGTCACTTCCACATTTTCAGGAATCTTTATAGCGATTCCACAACCCTCAGTACTAATTTTCTGTATTAGTTCATTCTTGCATTGCTAAAATATCTGAGACTGGATAAATTATAACATAAAGAGATTAAATTGGCTCACGGTTTCACAGGCTGTACAGGAAACAGCAGCATCTTCTTCTGGCAAGGCGTCAGGAAGCTTCCAATCGTGGCAGAAGGCAAAGGGGGAGCAGGCACATCACATGACAAAAGGAGGAGCAAGAGAGAGAGTGGGGAGTTGCCACGCACTTTTAAACAACCAGCTCTCACAGTAACTCACTCACTATCATGAGGACAGCATCAGGGGATGATGTTAAACCATTCGTTGAAATCTGCCCCCATGATTCAGTCACCTCCCACCAGGCCCTACCTTCAACATTGTGGATTACATTTCAACATGAGATCAGGGCAGGGAAACACATCCAAACTATGTCAGTATTGTTTACTACTAAAGTATGGGAGCTTGAGATATAATTAAAAAATAAAGATTAGCTCATGTTAGACAGATGTTAAATAATATTTAGTCTTAAATTGAAACTTCCTCTTTGACATCGTTGGGCTTGAAAGAAAAGAAAATAAAGTTCTCACTATCTAAATTCATGTTATTTTTTACTGTGTCCTTTGATATGGTTTGGATCTGTGAACCCACCCAAATCTCATGTTGAATTGCAATCCCTAGTGTTGGAGGTGAGGCCTGGTCAGAGGTGATTGAATCACGGGATGGGTTTCTCATGAATGATTTAGCACCATCCTCTAGGTGATATTTTCAAGATAGTGAGTGAGGGATTGTGAGACCTGGCTGTGTAAAAGTGTGTAGCACCTCCCCCCAGCTCTCTTCCTCCTGTGCTAGTTATGTAAAGTGTCTAACTCCCCCTTTGCCTTCTGCCAGGCTTGAAAGTTTCCTGAGGCCTCCCTGGAAACTGAGCAGATGCTGCCATGCTTTCTGTACAGCCTGCAGAACCATGAACCAATTAAACCTCTTTTCTTTATAAATTACCCAATCTCAGGTATTTCTTTACAGCAATACGAGAATGGACTAATACATCCTGTTATCAAATATCATGTCCAATGTTACCTAAAGCCCTTTCTAATGCCAATATCATTCCTGTTTCCCAATTTTGGGAAATAGCATTCTGAAGAGATATTTTTTGTATACATTGTACACAGTAGAAAATTGTATGTGTATCTATGTATGTATGTATGTGTGTGTATATGCATGCAATGTGTTTGTACTATAGGGATGTAAGACGTCTAAAGCTTATAGCTTGTATAAATGTAAAAATATTCTTACAGAGTTAGACCAACACCCTCAAATGAAATGTTATGTAAACTATATTTTGTATAAATATTTTCCTCAGCTTTCTGACTTAACTGATTGGTTTTTACTGAAATAACTTTATAGTCTCGTATCAGGAATAATAGGATTTTCTCATTTTCTTATTACCAAAAAAACAAAACATAACAAATGCTGGTGGTGGAGAGAAGAAATCTCTTTTACAATGTTAGTGGAAATGTAAATTACTAAAGCCATTGTGGAAAACATTATGTAGTTTTCTTAAAAAATTAAAAATAGAACTATCATACAGTCTAGCAATTTCACTACTATTTGCTTCAAAGGACAGAAAAAATATATATCACAGGGATATATGCACTCCTGTGTTTATTGTAGCACTATTCATAATAGCCAAGATAAGGAATCAACCTAAGTGTCCATTAAATGATGAATGGAGAAACAATATATGATCTATATAATAATGGAGTACTATTCGGACATAAGAATGAAATCTTGTCATTTGCAGTAACATTGATGGAACTGGAGGCCATTATGTTAAATGAAATAAGGAAGGCACAGAAAGACAAATATTGCATATTCTCACTCATAGGTGGGAGCTAAACAATTTTGATCTCATGGAGATAGGGAGTAGAATGATGGTTGCTAGAGGCTAAAAAGGGTAGTGGGGAGCAGGGGATAAAGAGGGGGTGGTTAATGGGCACAAAGATAGAGTTAGATAGAAGGAGCAAGATCCAGTGTTTGGTAGCATAATAGAGAGACTACAGTTACTACCATAATAGAGAGACTACAATAAATTACAATCATTTATTATCTATTTCAAAATAGCTAGAAGAGATTTGAAATGTTCCCAACACAAAGAAATGATAAATGTTCAAGGCGATGAGTATCCTGAATACCCTCATTTAATCATTACGCCCTTTATGCATGTATCAAAATATCAAGTGTTTTTACAAATATATACAATTATTATGTATCAATAAAAAGTGAAAAATAAAAAAGGAAAGATTTGCCCATGTTCAACTGAGACAACAAACTTTAAGTTAATTCCGATTTTTGTTTTATTAACTTCCGCCCCTGGGTCTCTCCTTTATTTCCTTCCTCCCCTTTGACTCAGACCCTAATGTATTCCCCACTCGACAGTCAGAATGATCTTTTATGAAATCAGATAAAAATCTTGGCTCTGCTTTAAAACCTTCCATGAGTTTCCTGTGCAGATCAGAATAATATTTCACATGCATGCCTAGACTTGAAGCTCTTCCATGGTTGGCCTGCTTCTTACCTCCATTGAGTCTCTCTCCTCTAGCTCACAAGTGGAGTCACACTAGCTTCCGTTTTGTTTTTCATACATGCTAGGCTTTTTCCTGTTTTAGGTCTTTTCCACTTACTGTTTTTCTTTTCTCCCTGGAATTCTCTTCCTCTGAGGTTTTACTTAGCTGATTCTTTATCTTCCTTAAGTCTTGAGTTAAATGTCTTTTAGGTTGTCCCTGTATACCCTTTATAAGTGGATCATCCCCTTACGTGGTATTCTCTACCTATTTCCTCCTTATGCTTGGTAGGTTGGAATTATATATGTGTCTCTTGTTTATTTTCTACTTCCCTATAAGAGTCTAAGTTCTATGAGGGCAAGGCTTATGGTTATTTGCATACACTGTCTCAGTATTATCCTTGGTATACAGAAGTACTCAGTAAATATGCATATATATATACACATCTATCTATCTATGTAGATATATAGATATCTACATATGTAGATATAGTAAATGAATCCTCTTCAAAGAGTTGTTTTATTTGTTTCATTGGCTTCCCTGATTATAAACTCACTTTTCAATAGTTTGTTAAGATAGGAGTGTGTGCCACGTTTAGCATTCAGAAAGATTTGAGTAAGCAATTGAATAAACAGCTTCCCCTAGTTTGTAATAATCCTTAAAACATTGTAGTGACTGAGCATAAGGGGCACCATAAGCATCAAAGAGAGATGAATTTGTAGCATCAAAGGCAAGCCAGCAATACTGTTTTAAATCTTCTTCTAATGACCTCCTTATAATTATGAATCCCTAAGAAGAAATTCAGCTGCTTTCTATGTCTGGAAGTCTGCTTAACTATGCTTAATTCTTTTGCTTTGGCTCATCTCCAAACTCTGTAACTTTCTTTGCCTAACTAGAATTGCATTTGGACTTTGGGAGGAAACAGTTATTGTTATGCATTTGTAGGTGTGAGCACCAGCTGCTTGTGGAAATTCCAATTCATTATACATTCGATTTTATAAAAGAATAAGCAAAACTTTGAAAGTATGGCTTTAGTCCTTACAGTTGAAACTCAAGTATATTATTGATTTATTGTGGAAATATTAAACAATTGGCCAAAATTTTGATGTGTCCATTACTTCATTAATAAACTAAATATATTCATTTATTTTTTTTTTTTTTGAAATGGAGTTTTGCTCTTGTTGCCCAGGCTGGAGTTCAGTGGCACAATCTCGGCTCACTGCAACCTCTGCCTCCCAGGTTCAAGTGATTCTCCTGCCTCAGCCTCCCGAGTAGCTTGGATTACAGGCATGCACCACTATGCCAGGCTAATTTTTGTATTTTTAGTAGAGATGGGGTTTCACCATGTTGGTCAGGCTGGTCTCGAATTCCCGATCTCAGGTGATCCGCCTGCCTCAGCCTCCCAAAGTGCTGGGATTACAGGCATGAGCCACTGCACCCGGCCTCATTTATTCTTATCTAGTTTCCACAGGGGCCTTACTTAATATTTCTGAAAACCATCTCCAAATACACATAATGAATATTTTTGTAGAACACATACATACACACTGGGGACTTTTTTCACATTTTGCATTTATAATTGTGGCAGATACTGCCAGCTGACCACTAATAATTTCTTCATCCCTTCCATAGTATGGAGATGTTGCTGGACAATGGCTGCCCCTTCAAGGACTATTATTTCCCAGCCTCTCCCCCTTGCATCCAGGTAGACCCTGTTACCGATGCATGTCTACGTTACCTCTAGGAGACAGGTAAGGTTGCAATATGTAATCCTCAGTGTTCCCTTCCCTCAGGACTGCTGGTTGGGTAACACTGATGCGTCTTTGCTCTAGCCAAACAATGTAATATGGGGTTCCTGAATCACAGCCTGTGAACAAGATGCTCTGGAGAAGGAACATCTGCTTTGAACTTCACATAAATGAGAAATACACTTTCAGTTTGTTATGCAACTGAGATTCTGAGTTTGTCTGTTACAACAGTTGCAATATTTACCCTGATGAATGTAATGTAAATTTATCAAATAAACTCTATAAATATATAAGTGTAACATATCTGCATACATTATTACAGAGCTAGTTCAGCACTCATTTTACACATGAGAAACCTGAAGAAAAAGAGACCTTGAAGAGTTAAGCAAACTCAGATTATAAAATACATTACTTAACAGCTAAACTAATTCTAGTGCTTATTCCATTATAGCAGGAGTGGACACAGTATGGCCCTCAGGCCAAATCAGGTCCACTGCCTATTATTTAGAAAAAATAACGTTTACTGTAACCCAGTCACAATCATTCATTTACATATTGTTTAAGACTGCCTTTTTTGCAACAATAGTAGAGTTAAGTAGCTGCAACAGAGGTCATATGACGAGTAAAGCTTAAAATATTTACTGTCTGACTTTTTACAAAAAAGGTGGCTGACCCATGCATTGTACTGTATGTCCACGGGCTTTCCAGGTTAATTCTGCATACGGGACATAATAAAAAGGTAGGCTCTAATTTTATATTGTAATCACCTGGTGGGTTCTTGCTTGCTGTACAGATAAAACCAATTCACTGAGACTGTGGTATTGCAATAAAGAAAGAGTTAATTAATGGTAGGTTAGACATGCAGAAGAAAAAGTTATTACATCAGTCTCTTGGAAGGCTTGGAGGTTTGGGTTTTTGAAGGATGGTGTGATGAGTAGGGAAGTAGGGAATGGGGACTACTGATTAGTTGGGGATGCAATCACAAGGATGTAGAAAACAGTCCTCATGTGCTGAGTCCACCTCTGGGTGGGGACCACAGATGAACTGAGTCATGAGTCATAGTCTAGATGGGGTCAGTCAACTGCCAGAATGCAAACGTTTGAAAAGCATCTTGAAATATCAATCTTAGGTTCTACAATGGTCATGTTATATATAGGAACAATTGGGGAAGCCACAAATCTTACGATCTTTGGCCACATGTGTCCTGTCAGTTAGGGATTATAGAAACTATGCCTACATTTTAGCAGAGTTCAGGCCCATCCCATAATCCTAATCTCATGGCCTTTTATTAGTTTTCAGTCCTTTAGCAAGAACAGGGGTAGCTTTCGGGGGGATTATTATCATCTTTGCTTCCAGGTTAAACTACAAACTAAATTTCTCCCATGTTTTCCTCGGCCTATGCCCAGAAATGAGCAAAGATGGTCAGCCTGTGAGGCTAGAAGTAAGATGGAACCAGCCATGCTAGATTTCTCTCACTGTCATAATCTTTGCAAAGATAGTTTTAATATCTCTCCTATTTTAGTGGAAACATTGGAAAATCCTTCAATTTTTTTTTCACTTTCTCTACTTTGTGCACTAACCTCCTTCTTAACTAATATTTGGAAACTGATCCAGCTTCCTCTCATGCTTCTGATATTATCTAAGATAGGGTCCTATGAAGCAGAACTTTAAAATGAAATGGTAAAAGGCTAAGGTATGCTTTCCCATCTCTCCTTCATTGCTATCCCAATGCTGAGACTGAGCACATGCCAATTAGTGCATTCCCTTAGACTCTACCCTAAGGCCTCTAATCAAATGCCCAGGAAAACAAGATCCTCACATTTCTATTAAACTCAGAAAAAGTTTTTTCTTTCTCCAGTTCTTTCTGTCTACGAAGATTCCATCTTTCTCTACAGGAGTGTTTCTCTACATTTTTTATACATTGTCACTCAAGACATATGATCATGTTTGCATTGATAAAGTAAGGGCTGTAGGCACTGTCAAATTCCCAACTTATATATACACAATTCCAGCACTTTCTCTCTCACTTTTCAAAAACACATCAGACTGCAAGAAAGAAGTCACTTATTATAGAACTAACCTTAAATCCATTATAAGTTATTTTTTAAACATTGCATTAAAACATCGATAATTAAACTATCATTAATCAAAAGTAGTTGCTCTGTCTCTCATAGCTGGTTCTGACAAACAAGCTTACTGTAATACTATGTATGAAGATAACTGAATCTATATGAAAAGGAAGAATTTGAGAGGCTCATAAAAAATTCTGTTTCCTCATTGTGAGTTGCAGTAAAAATTGATTTAAGCAGATAAAACTCAAAGAAAGCAAAACACCTCAGATAGTCCTTTTTGGTTTATTTTTGAAAAAGTGAAATAGGAAAAAAGAAACTGTTTCTAAGTAGACTTGAGAGGGAACAAACCCAGATCATAATTCAAAGACAATGCTATCAGAAATCTTACATTCTAACTTATCCTTGGGTTGACAAGAAGAAATAAAAGAGATAAGTGGCAAATGGCTACTGATGTGTTTCTAAGGCCCTATTATACCAGACACCCTCAGTTTGTAGCAATCATGCCTTTCAACTTGTCTTCCTCAACTCTAACTCTCACAACTCCTGCATTAGCTTAAAGCTGATAAACTCTTTGTTCTAACTGCCCCTTAAGCAGAGGTAGAGTTGGAAGGGAAATTTCCTATCCAGCTGCAGCAAATATGGGGTGTGTTCCTGGCATTTTTAGAAAAATCAATAACTGTAGTTTCCAGAGAATTGTTGTTATACACAATACATACTTCTCATAATTTATTCTATAATACTGGTATATTGTGGGTTAAATTTATTTCTTTAGTTGACCCCCAAGTATGGCACCATGGAAATCATTGTGAATCTAACAAACAGCCACCTGCAAAATATATTTTAGAATACAACTCACTGCAAGTTAGAAATTGCCTCGACATTTTTGTTTCATAAAGAAAACTTGTTTTGCAAAGTGGTGAAGACTGGGTAGTCAGTCTTGGATGCAATCCAAGTGCATTTATTTGGTGACATAATGGCAACTACCATAACAAAAGCCTTTTATAGGTAGTTTCTTCTACAAATTAGTCCTAAGTTGTGGCATTAGTGAGAAAAACACTCTTCGTTTTATCAGTTTTAATATGAATTCAAAAATTTAGAACCCCATGTACATCATGGCAAATGCTCCTAATTATGAAGCTAATTGTCCCTGCAATACATTTTACTACTTTATTTTATTCAAAATCTTTTTCTTGGGTCCATCAAAGACAGCTAAAATTATGCACTCTTATGCATGGTATAATATTGGCAGTATATCATTCTTTATTAAGTTTTTGTCTTTATTTTGACAACTAGTTTTAAATGTTGGCCAAGTGATGACTTTTGCAACTAATGTGAAACAGTTGCTGTGAGCTTTTTTAATTTGACAAGCTCATGTCTAAAATGTTAATAATTTTTCCAGATAGTAGAAAGTAAATAAAGTTGTATGCTATCATAAGAAATATTCATATGTGGATAATGACACAAGAGGATAATTTTAAGGATATTTATAATGCGATGTGATGACAGTGACATAATATTTTTTATTTTTATTACTGGCTTCAGTCACTATGTCTCTTATATTTGTAAGTACTAAATTCACAATTTTTTAGATATAAGAAATCAAGCTATGGGTAAATAATATTGTCATTTCCCTTGATATATAATAACATTTCCTTCAATAATTCAATTTATTGGAAGATATACTAAGGGCAAGCAAAGAACTTTTGGATTAATACAAATATTTTCTATTATTTTCAGATATCTTCTTTTATTGTATGAAAAGTCCCCTCTCCTTTTTTTTTCTTAAATTTGTTAATGCTCTTCTTTCTGTTTCATAGGAATAAATGTTTATCCAGCTTTCCAAGGCTGACCCTATGTGTTTACCCTTTATTCTGAGTGAAGATATAAGTTTTAAACTTGATTATAACTTGGCTTAATATTTGAGCAAGCAATTTTACTGATGGTGGAACATTTAATTTTGCTGATTTAGGGCAATATCATCATTTCTAGAAAAAAAATCAGCCTTTTTATATAAATATTCCGTGATATTTATTTCTTGTTATTTGGGGAAGGATGTTTGTCTTATGGTTACTTTTCTCTTGACATGTGCTGATGATATAATTTATCTTCTATTTTCTTGTTCCTTCCTTATCAACTTCATCCTTTACTCCCCAGATGCAGATTAACATAAAGATAATGAAATAAGCATCAGGTCCTCTCACTTCTCAGGCCCCGTCTAAGGTCCTGGGGGAGTCCTAGTTAAGTATTAAATGGTCAAATATATTTTTGTAGAATTTAGAAAAGTAAGATAGTTTAAGGTTACTGTGTCTTTTCATACTAAGAATAATGACAAGCTCTTATAAAGAGTCCTGATATTTAACAAAGACCACAGAAGTAGAGGTGGAGAGAGAGACAGAATTGTGAGATATTTGGGAGATAGACTGATATCTCTATTCTCATGATCTATTTTCTAACCAGCTTGAACTTATCTGTACTTCCCAGGCATTACCTAGGTGTTTTCACCTCTGTGCCTTGACAGTTACATTTTCTCTCAGCCTGGAGTCTCTCTCATCCCTTGAAGTCCAGTTCTGATGCCAACTGGCATTTCTCTAGTGCTAAACACATAGTCAGCTCTTAGTGCATAGTGTTGACTGCAGAAATTAAGCTAAGGCATGAGTCTTCACATGATTTTCTCTAAATCTGAAAACTTGGCTTTTTCCTTCTTTTCTTTTCTTGCTTTGGAGTGGGGAAGAGAATAGGACATTAGCCACAGCTTTTCTTAAGCAAAGGAAGCACTGTTCAGAGGAGACCCAGCATTACCCCTTGATTTTGATAAAGTCCAAAGGCCTCTGATCTTGCCCTTGGCATCACTGATTGTTTTGGAACCAGACCACGTACAGGTGTAATTTTTGGAGGGAGTCAAATAAATAAAGGTGTGATTATGGTATGAGGATGAAGTACTCCCACAACATTTGCTCTTTGCCACATAGGAGTATGAAAAGAGTTAGAACTTAGAACAACTGACTTAAAATTCTGAGTATTCCACTTACTAGCTGTTTTACCATGGGAAAAATATTTAACTTTTATGAGTTTTCTCCTTTGGAAAATAATGATAGTGTAGAGGTGGAGGGAGATTATCTTTTCTGCCTACTGAAGGTTCACCGAAAATGAACTGACAAAAGGCAGATTAATATGAGAAAGGTGTACAAAATTTATTTAATGTGCATGGGAGAAAATCGCAGAAGTGTGGTTATCCAATAACCCAATGAAGCCCAGATGCTTATATACCCTTCTTTATAGGGGGAGATGTAAAATGGCGGTGATTTTTTTGAGGGGTAGTGATTATTAGGGAGAATGAATAGATCCTTAACTTGTAAATGATTCCCTTTGGAATTTGAATGAACTAGATGTTATCTTGTGAAAAAGTCTGTCCAGGTGTGGTTACATTCCTCAATCTTCTTTTCTGTGACAGATGATGAGATTTCAGGGAGGGGATAGAAGGCAATTGTGTTCTGTTTGGCAGGTGCAGTCTTAAGGTAGATAGGGGAATATCAGAGTAGAGTCTGTTCCAGCCTCTTCTGACTTTTAAGGGTCTTTAATTTAAAGCAATCATCATACAACGGTGCCATATTTAGGAGTGAGGTTCCCTGGGCTCCTTCAATTGCATATTTCTATCTATTGGTTTTTTGGGGACTATAAAAAAGGAGTATATATCTAAATACCTTGTTCATGCTGTGCGTAATAGGAATTCTATGTAAGTTAGTTTTCTTCTTTCTTCTTCCACTTTTTACCTTCAGCATCTTTCTAAGTCAACATGTGATTCAAGCAACAAATTCATCCTGGTAGATTTTAATTAATTAAATTTATATTGTATAGATTACTTTGTATGTTCACATACACTATCCTAATTTGTCTTCTTACTGATGTAATGAGGTTAGCTGAGGAGTCAGAGAAGGTACCAACCAAAATGGGTGCACCCTTCATGCACATACACACACATACACACACACACATTTAGACATGTTGGTGTGCCCTAGATAATTATTATCCAATTTTTATGGATAAAAAAAACTGGGGTCCCAAAATTCAAGTTACTTACAAAAGCTGACAAGTCCCTTCTCTTTACACCGTTTCCTGTTTTTCACCTGTTTAACTCCTGTTTGTTCTGTTTGTCCTTCAAGGGTCACTCATGACAGTTTCTTCCCCTTTCCTGTCACTACCACCTCTGCCAGCCTGGGTGAGGTGCCCCTTGTCTTCTGTGCTCCCATTGTTTTCTGTACATGTTTATCATAGCCCTTATCACACTGTGTATACTTGTCCTCCAATTCACTGTATACTCCTTGATGAAAAAGAACGTTACTTTTTCATGGTCTTTTTGCACAGTGTTTTATATGCAGTATGTTAAACATTACCTGCTGAATGAAAGAGCAAAAGTTAATGGTGATTGGGAAATTGAAATTATTCAGGAGCATGTGTTAAAAAAATCTAAGGATTCTTTAGATGGAAAGAACCAGGATCTATTAATTTTTGTTTGTGAGGTAAGGGGTGTGTGTGTGTATGTGTACACACATGTGTGTAAAGACAAAGACTACTGTTTAATTATTGATGTTACCAAACAAGGCTTGGATCTGTGTGCCTGGTACACAAAAAAAGGCAAACATACCAGGATTTTCAGCAAAAGAAAGTGAGTCATTTATTACAGGTCACCAAGCAAGGAAGATGGGCAGCTAATGCTGAAGATCTGAACTTCCCGATGACTTACAAGCAACGGTTTTTAAGACAAGAGTACATTTTAAGAAAGCGGAAGTTACAGGCAAAATCATAAATCAACATAAAGAGTTTATATATTTGCTTGGCCCAAAAAGGTGGGATATCTTGAAGTAGGGCTCACAAGTCATAGGTGAATTTAGAGATTTGTTTTTGATTTGCAATAGGCTAAGGGAGCAATGCTTTGTTTAAAAGCTTGGGGTTCAACAGAAAGGAATGTTAAGGTTTAGCCTGTAGGCATGATGCTCCCCAGGACCCCCAGGAAGAAACTTAGGGCAAAGAATGGTGATCAGATACTAGTTCTTAGTTTTTCTCTTATCTGAGGTATATGTGACAATGTTTGGCATTTTTCTTTCTTTCTTTCTTTTCTTTTTTTTTGAGATGAAGTCTCACTCTGTCACCCAAGCTGGAGTGCAGTGGCATGATCTCGGCTCACTGCAACCTCTGCCTCCCAGATTCAAATGATTCTCCTGCCTCAGCCTCCTGAGTAGCTGGGATTACAGGCACCTGCCACCATGCCTAGCTATTTTTTGTATTTTTAGTAGAGACTGGGTTTCACCATGTTCGTCAGGCTGGTCTCGAACTCCTGACCTTGTGATCTGCCCGCCTCAGCCTCCCAAAGTGCTGGGATTACAGGCGTGAGCCACCAGGCCTGAATGTTTGGCATTTGTCATTTGGAGAGTCCTGGTTTCTGAAAAACAACTCAAGTCCATATGTTCAGATGTAATCTTTTAGTTTTCAGAGGCAACCAAAACACCATGTGACTCTGACTTGCTTGGGAGGCTATTGTTGAAGTTATTGCCATCTTCTTGGTTATCAGGTTGTTCATTTATTTTTGCTAACTAGGTGCCTAGAATTGTTTCAAAGGGACTAGAGATATGTATTTTTAAAATTTTATGCTTGGGGAGAGGTCCCAGCAGGCCCCTAAGAGGGGTCTTTGCTTTATCTCATTGATACGGGAGACTGTATCAATTCTTTATAGTACTTCTAAGCTAGTTTAATTGGTGTATACAGAATATGTCATGCTAAAATAGACATTGTGTAGGAACCAAGGCCTTTGGCCCTGTAAAGTTTCCCTGAAAAATCAACTAACCAAAGACTGATTAATTAAAGAAAAGGCATAAAAACTTACTGTGTATACACAAGAGGTTTCAGAATGAAGAGTCAACTTCCCAAGGAGATACAGAAGCTTATATGCCATCTTGAGGTTACAGAAAGAATAAGGGCTTAGATTCTCACAAAACCAGTTATGGGAAGTGGGAGAAGAGGAATTCTCTTGAGGGGCAATAAATGATTATTAGGAAGAATGAATGGATAGAGAACAGAGGTTAAATGATAAACAGTTCTCTTTGGAATCTGAATAAGCTTGTGAGGCATTATCTTGTAAGAGTTGGGTCAGATATGATTACATTCTTTGTCTTGTCTCTGCCATAGATAATGAGATTATAGGGAGGAGGAAAAAAAATTGTTGTCCTTGGTGGGCAGAGACTTAAGGCAGATAGGGGAACTTCAGACAACTTTACCCTGTGCTTTGGGAGAAACAGTAGGGAGTGGGAACATGCCAAGGGGACCTTGAGGCTTCTTCAATTTTTCTGAGCAACAACAATTATAATCCTTGGAGAAAAATAAAAGTCACAAAAAATAGAGTAAATGTTATTTGTGGAAAGGGGAAGAGTCAAACTTATCCTTTTGCTCTTCTAATGGTGCTTGACAAGAATGAATCATAGTAATAGGAAGGTAGACTCATCCTTCCTAAGCCATCAAAAGAAAGGTGGCTTTCTTCCTCTTCCACAAGCAATTTTGCTTAAAAGAAGACAGGAAGGGAGTGGCTTCTTATATGGATATGGGGAAACTTTGATAAATGAATCTGATTCTAAGTGTGGGGAAGGGAGAAAAGTAGAGGAAGATTAAGTTCATATCCAAAATGACTCCTTATTTTTCTTGATTCTCTGTAGGCGCTTTTAGAGAGAGAGCTGGGCACTCTGTGGAGTTTCTTTATATGACCTGAGGCCTTACTCTAGTGGCACAGTTAATACTGGTGAGAATCACAATAGACTATATTTGCATTCATCCTGGGGACAGCTTTGAATTCACCCACACATTGTAATAAGTAGAACGTTTGCCCACAGATTTCACATTGCTCTAGTGTCTTAATGATCTTCCCCCAGTGCCTGTGATAGACTTAAACATAATAGAAGCCAATTTTGACTCGAATTCAATGTTCTCTGTAGGAGAGGATGACTGAAGTTTAATTATAATTCCTTTATACCAAATGTGTATGCATTCTCCAGCATTTGATGGGATTCCTCCAAAATTTCCATCTCAAAATCAGCCCATCAGTAGAACAGTCACATGCTGCCCAGTTAATTATAATGGAATGTGATGGTTTGGGGCTGTATTCCAAACAGAGCACCATGACATCTATGCAAACAAGCTTCTGAAAAGCTAATAAGACAAGGGTCTTTGTGCTATTTCAAATGTTTTTATTTTGTTTTGTTTTTTCTCCTTATGTAAATATGCCAAAGATGGACTAACAAAAAATGTTGGTTATGTAGTTTTTTGTTACATATGTAGGCCATTTCATTTCCCCTCATCTTCTCTGTTTCCTATGTACAGCTAGGAATAAAACTCACAGTTCTTCCAAGACTCAGAAGTTTAAGACATATTCTAGCACATGGTGGATTTAAAACATATTCACTGTTACTTTTGAAAATTACATTTTCCCAATATAAGTACCTTTTAGAAGAGTGCATAATGGACTTTGTAGTAAAGGCAATAATCAGTCTTTATGTTTATTTTGTGTCTCCTAAATCACAGACCTGAATAAAAGATGCTACATAGAAAACTGTATTTCATAAATTAAATTGATACTTTGTGGATTACTATGTATGTTTAACATACATGTATGTGGAAGGGGATGGTTGAAGGTGTATTCCCCAAATAATACAACAGAGGGACTTTAACAGAGAAGGCAGGAGAAGTATCAATCTGAATGGACACTATAAAAAATGTTGCTGGGCAACTTCCAGAGGTGCAGCAAGGATGGAAACACTTTTAAAGCACTAGAAATATTATAAAATGAGCAAAAGTATATTTGTGGACCTGGTCTGGTACAGGTAGAATATGAACATATGAAAATATTTTGATGAGCCACTTGGAGCTGAAGGTAAGATTGCAAGAGGTGGGCTTGAGTGGCAATAAATAATCAATACACTGCCTCTAAGGAAGGTGGGCCTGGTTAGCCAAAAAGTTTTTATTTTCTTTAATGAATGATGGTTTGAGACTTTTTCATCAAAGATGAATTTTTCAGGGAAATAGAAGACAAACTAAACATTACTGTTAGAGTAGGCAGACAGACATGAGCAGGAAAGCGAGCTCCCAGGGGAGGAAGCTCTAGAAAGTCTTGCATCCCAGAGACCACCCCAAACATGCATGCTAACTGAGCAGAGAGGAAGGGAAATACCTATGGCAGAACAGAACACCCCTTAAGACACCCAGTAATTACTCATTCTATGATTGAGCTGGTCAGAATATAGCTAGCTACATGCTGATAAGAAGGGACAAGGGACAAAAGGAAAATTCCTGAAAGACGTGCAGGCACAATAAGTACAGATTTGACCACTATATGACCTTCCTGGGGTGGCAGTAATTAGCAACACTACCATTAGGTATGATTCATATTGATCATCAGGCCCCACATATGCACATCTACTGACAGCAAGGGAGAATCCAACAAACCTGGGCAGGAACTTGGGGATAACAAAGGCGGAGACTTAAGACAGAAGCAGGAAACAAGAAAAAGGCAGAGACTTAAGATAGAGGTGGGAACTTAAAGAAAAAGTCTGACATAATAAAAACTTCAACACAGAACTCTCAGGACTGTTCCTAGCCACGTGAGCCTGCTCCTCTCTTGGAGTGTACCTTTATTTCCTTAATAAACCTTTTTGGCTCCTTTACTAATTGGTCTCTTGGCTGAATTATTTCCTTCAAGAAGACAAGAATCTAGGATCCTTCACTTCCTGGTAACACGAAGAAAGTGCTCTTTCCTCTATATCCCTCTCTCTCATTGTGCTCAGTATTATCTCTAAATAAATGTTGGATAAATACCTAAATAATTCCAGTTTGTTGGGGTTCAATATTATGCACTGGACTTACATTCTCACAAGTCCATTTCTCTAGCCCAGTGTATGCACAGTTTCAGCCAATTAAGGACTTAGGTTCTAGTTGCAGAGTGACACAGAAACAAATTATTTTCTCTTCAAATGAGTGTGCTTGTATAAAGAGATTCAGAATCAGAAGTGTAAATAAATCCAAAAGAAGCATTAATATCCTCTTCTACTTCTGTACAGGTATTACAGGAACAGTCTGGTGAATTGTTGCCTTGGCTTATTAGTTTCAAAAGGCTTAAAAAAGTCTAATCTGAGATTCCTTATGAAAAAGTTCTAGCAAAGCCAATTTAAAAGGAGCCTATATGGGCAATCACTATTTTTGTTGAACTTCATGCAAATAATCAGACTAAGTATCATAAAAGTCTAGAACTTATTTCACTGATAAATTGGTCTTATTCTGATTTCTCTTTTGGTAGAAAAGGGAAATGTGAGACAGAAGAAAAGTAGGTTTCAGAAGACAACTATAGTACACCTGTTGTTAAATTCTACCCCTGACCATTGTTTTTGAGTTTTCATTATTTTCTTACAATTTGGACTGAATCCTGAATTATTTCCTGCCATAGCAAGTCTGTAAAGAAGTGCCTCAGTGTAATTATAGTTTTTAGTTGACTTCTCAAAGGAATAGGTTTTTATCTCTCATTGTTTTATTTCTTCCAATAAAACAAAAATTATGAAATTTTGAAGACTAGAGATGATTAAAAAAATGACAACTGTTAAAAAATTCAGTGACTGTGGACTATTAAGGAATGAGTCTCCCCAGAACTGAGGGACAAAAAGTATCTATTTTTTTTTTTCTTTTTTTGAGACGGAGTCTCGCTCTGTCGCCCAGGCTGGAGTGCAGTGGCCCTATCTCAGCTCACTGCAAGCTCCGCCTCCCGGGTTCACACCATTCTCCTGCCTCAGCCTCCCTAGTAGCTGGGACTACAGGCGCCTGCCACCACGCCCGGCTAATTTTTTTGTATTTTTAGTAGAGATGGGGTTTCACTGTGTTAGCCAGGATGGTCTTGATCTCTTGACCTTGTGATCTGCCCACCTCGGCTTCCCAAAGTGCTGGGATTATAGGCGTGAGCCACTGCGCCTGGCAAAAGTATCTATTACTCTAATCTCAGCAGAGGGCGATCATCAATGCTTCTATGGGAAGATTTTTAACCAACAGAGGGACATGAAAAAGAAAACTAGCTCAGAACAATCCAAGAATTATGTGAGATACACAAAATTTATCAGGCCCAGAGAAACATGAGTATGGGACTTTAGTTATGCCCTCTACACCCATGCCTGGGGACAATTGTTTAAAAACATTTCATTCCTGACTAGTTGCCTCAGCCATTATCTTATGTTTCCAGAATTTGTGATACAAAGAATAATGTATAGCCAATCAATAGCTTGTTGTTTTGATGTAAATTCTTAGTAAACAACGTAGGAACTGCCCCTTCTTTTCCTTTAAAAATCCACTTGTCTAGGCCAGTGTCCAAAAGAGTTTTTCTCAGGTTTTCTTCTAGGATTTTTATAGTTTCAGATTTTACATTTAGGTCTTTAATCCATCTCGAGTTAATTTTTATGTATTGTGAGAGGTGTGTGTCAGTTTCATTCTTCTGCATGTGGCTATCCAATTTTCCCAGCACCATTTATTGAATATACACTGCCACTTCCCCAGTGTATATTGTTATTGACTTTGTTAAAGATCAGTTGGTTGTAGGTGTGTGGCTTTATGTCTGGGTTCTCTATTCTGTTCTGTTCACCTATGTGTCTACTTTTATATTAGTATCATCTTGTTTGGGTTACTGTAGCCTTGTAATATAATTTGAAGTCAGGTAATGTGATGCCTCCAGCTTTGTTCTTTTTGCAGAGAATTGCTTTGGCTATTAGGCTCTTTTTGGTTCTATATGAATTTTAGCAATGCTTTTTCTAATTGTGTAAAAAATGACATTGGTAATTTTACAGAGATTGCATTGAATCTTAGATTGCTTTGGGCAGTATGGTCATTTTAATGATATTGATTCTTCCAATCATGAGCATGGGATTTTTTTGTTTGTTTGTTTGTGTCATCTATGATTTCTTCAGTATTTTATAGTTCTTATAGAGATCTTTCACCTTGTTGGTTAAATATATTCCTAGGCATTTTACTTTTTTGGTAGCTTTGTAAATTGCCTTCTTGATTTGGTCCTCAGCTAGATTATTATTGGTGTATAAAAATGCTACTGATTTCTGTATGTTAATTTTATATCATGAAACTTTACTGAATTCATTAATCAAATCTGAGAGTTTTTTTGGTGGAGTTTTTAGGGTTTTCTAGATATAGGATCATACTGTCAGCGAACAGAGAAAATTTGACTTTCTTTGTCCAATTTGGATGTTTCTTTTTTTCTTTTGCTTGATTTCTCTGGTCAGGACTCCTAGAACTATGTTGAATAAGAATGGTGAAAATAGGCATCCTTGTCTTGTTCTAATTCTTAGAGGGAATGCTTTCAGCTTTTTCCATTAAGCATAATGTTGGCTGTGGGTTTGTCATACATGGTGTTTATTATGTTGAGGTATGCTCCTTCTATGCCTAGTTTGTTGAGGATTTTTATCATGAAGAAATCCTGAATTTTATTGAATGCTTTTTCTGCATCTGTTGAGATGATCATATGGTTTTTACGCTTAATTCTGTTTATGTTATGTGTCACGTTTGTTGATTTGTGTATGTTGAACCATCCTTGTATCCCTGGGATAAATCCCAGCTGATCATAGTGTGTTATCTTTTTGATGTTCTATTGAATTATATTTGCTAATATTTTGTTGAGGATTTTTGCATTCTCAAAAGTAAAAACAACAAAAATAGACAAATGAGACTTAATTAAACTAAAACCTTCTGCACAGCATAAGAAATAATCAACAGAGTAAACAGTCTACAAAATGGGAAAAAATATTTGCAAATGATGCATCCAACAAAAGCGAATATCCAGAATTCACAAGGAAGTCAAACAACTTAACAGGAAAAGAACAAATAACCCCATTAAAAACAAGCAAAGAACATAAACAGACATTTTTCATTAGGAGACATACAATCGGCCAACAAATACATGAAAAAGTGCTTAACATCAATAAACATCAGAGAAATGCAAATTAAAACCAAAATTTGAGCCATCTTACACCAGTCAGAATGGCTATCATTAAAAAGTCTAAAAATAACAGATGTTGGTAAGGATGTGGAGAAAACGGAATGCTTACACAGTGTTGATGGGAATGTAAATTAGTATAACGTTTATGGAGAATGCTGAAAGATTCTCCCCGGGGCCTGAAAGCTTGAAGGGATGAGTAACTCCTCCCTTCTCAGGCCCAGTCTCAAGGTGCAAGGCTACTTGCACCAGCAGCATATGCCAGCAAGATAGCAGAAGCAGGAAGAGAGCTGGCCGCAAGACACCTACTCTTGCTGGAAGACACATACCCCTGCAGATTGAAAAAGAGGCCGTCCAGGTACTACGTAGCAGTCGCGTCAGACTGGGACACTGCCTGTTTACAGGAGACCATAAAACCCCTGCTCCATCCTCATTTGGTGCTGATGCCATTTTAGGCCTTAGCCCCCCTGCAGCCAGGTGCTCATTAAAACAACACGTTGCTGGGCTGGGTGCGGTGGCTCACGCCTGTAATCCCAGCATTCTGGGAAGCCAAAGCAGGCGGATCATGAGGTCAGGAGATTGAGACCATCCCGGCTAACATGGTGAAACCCCATCTCTACTAAAAATACCAAAAATAGCCAGGCGTGGTGGCAAGCGCCTGTAGTCCCAGCTACTCAGGAGGCTGAGGCAGGAGAATCACCTGAATCCGGGAGGCGGAGGTTGCAGTGAGCTGAGATCGTGCCACTGCACTCCAGCCTGGGAGACAGAGTAAGACTCCGTCTCAAAAACAAACAAACAAACAAACAAACAAAAACATGTTGCTCCACACCGCCTCGTGTTGTCTGTTGGCG
Organism: Homo sapiens; assembly: GCF_000001405.40. Classification (NCBI taxonomy): domain Eukaryota; kingdom Metazoa; phylum Chordata; class Mammalia; order Primates; family Hominidae; genus Homo; species Homo sapiens. The sequence goes on from NC_000003.12 coordinate 173,274,747, forward strand.
CGCTCTCGGTGTTTGAACTGATACAAGAACCTTACATCTGGTGCTGAAACCTGGGAGGGGCTCAGGTCTGCGTCCCCTGTGGACCTACCCCTCCATCCTGGAGAGCAGGCCACAGCGGCAAGACAAAGGAAGCTCCTCAGCCTCCAGTCGCCTTTTCGTGCATGCACATAGGTCACTGATCTCGCCTACTGATAAGTTTCCCAGGAACCCCATTAACAGGGAAAAATCCACATGGCCTCTCTTGGTTTCTCCGGTCCGAAAATCCAATGTTGGTCCAAGAAGGCCCCGGCATGTACCAGGCACTCACTAGTCATTTGGTCTTAGGGGAACACCTCTAAGCCATTGATCCCTTTCCGGGAACGAAAAAGACAGCTGTGACAGTCACTCCTTTTATCGTCTCCCTCCGGCATCCAGGACTGTCTCCTTTAACCTGTTCTCTTGAGCCTACCCTCTGTTACGGGAAATTCCCAGTCTTCCATTCTAAAGGACGGTCTTCTAGGCTGCCTCATAAAAACCTGCAAACCTTAGGCCTCAGGCAAGATATCCACCCTAAGTGCTTTGTCTGTTTTTGCAATTCAGTCTGGCCACAATACGAATTGGATAATGGGTCCAAATGGCTCACAAATGGAACATTCGACTTTACAATTTTAACTGATTTACGAAATTATTGCCAACGAATGGAGAAATAGGGAGAAATTCCTTATGTCCAGGCCTTTTTGCACTCAGATCACAGCCTGACCTCTGCAATTCTTGCTCACCTGTTCTAATCATTCCCCTCCATTCTCGCTGCCCTGATCGCCTTTCTCCTCCCAACCCTACCTCTTTATCCTCCTTGGATCCAGCAGACTGCTGTCCACCCCTCCCAGCCCCTACATCTCCCTCTCAACTGTCTTCTTTAACCCCGCAAGCTTCCTCTTTATCTTCTCAGCTGCCATCTTTCCAGCCGCGGTCTTCTCAGTCAGCAGTATCCACCTCTTTTCCTACACTGCCCTCTCCTCAGGACAATTCTAGTATTGCCTGTACCCATTTTCCTCCCCTATTGCCCTCTCCTGAGGCTTGTAAACCCTTCCCACCACCTTACGCACCTATCTATCCTCCACTGCCTGTTAATTCAACCCCTTTTCCCCCATTCAAACCCTCAGCAGGAACCACTTCTAGCTTCTTCCTTCTCTCCCACTCATACTCTCTCAGGCGCCATCTTTGGTCTATGCCCCACCCTTACTTCAGCGCTGGTGCTAGAGTGCCCCCTTTAGGAAGTAGCAGGAGCTGAAGGTATTGTTAGAGTTCATGTTCCCTTCTCCCTCACTTACCTCTCAAATTAACAGAAGACTCGGTTTATTCCCAGAAGACCCTACCTCTTATATTAGGGATTTCAATACTTTACCCAGTCTTATGAACTAACCTGGCATGACCTCTACGTTATACTCTCTTCCACCCAAAACCCGGAAGACCAGGACCGTATCTGGACTCTAGCTCAGGCGCATGCTGATACAATTCATCACCAAGCTCTTGCCCGGACTACTGGTGCAGAGGCGGTCCCCAACCAGGACCCCCACTGGGATTATCAAGACGGGGCCTCAGGATGCTGCCTCGAGACCACATGATTGTGTGTCTCCTTGCAGGACTCAAAAAGGGTGCCCATAAAGCAGTAAACTATGAAAAACTTTCAGAAATCACCCAAGGTCCTGACGAAAACCCAGCCCTTTTTCTCTCTCATTTAACTGAAGTCATAAGAAAGTATACCAACCTAGACCCAGCCAGCCCAGAAGGAACCACTATCCTAAACCTTTGGTTCATCTCCCAATCCACCCCCGATATCCGGCGCAAGCTTCAGAGGCTTGACGACGGCCCTCAAACCCCACAACGAGACCTTCTTAATTTAGCCTTCAAAGTCTTTAACACTTGTGATGAGGAAAGTAAAAGGCAAAAACAGGCAGAGTTTCAAATGCTTACCTCCGCCATCAGGGGCCCTGCAGGCCCATGGGGCAGCAGCTCCCCACAGAAGCCTCCTAGCAATCCACCTTCACCTGACGCTGGATTCAAGTGTGGCAATGAAGGCCACTGGTCCAGACAATGCCCAAACCCAGGTGATCCCATCAGGCCATGCCCCCTCTGTGGAGGACCCCACTGGAAGTCAGACTGTGAGTGGCCTCCTCAAGGACTGCCCCCATCCCTTCCTGAGCCAGCCAAAACCTCCTACTCAGATCTCATTGGCCTTGCTGCTGAAGACTGATGGTGCCCTGGAACGGATGCCCCAGAAACTACCATCTCTTCATTCGAGCCAAGGGTAACTCTGATGGTGGTAGGTAGGCCAGTATGTTTTTTCATTAATACGGGGGCAAACTACTCTACTTTACCTAATTTTTTAGGACCCACCCAGTCCTCCCAAGTCTCTGTTGTGGGAATTGATGGACAAGTCTCCAAACCCCAAGCCACCCCTCCACTTTTCTGTTCCCTTCACACCTTTTCCTTCACTCACTCTTTCTTAGTCCTGCCCTCATGCCCAACTCCACTCCTAGGAAGAGACATCCTTTCAAAACTCCACACTATTCTCCACTTCCATTTTCCCCATAGTACCCTATGCATCAACCCAGACCCCTCCGGGGCATCTAACTTTCTTCTACTCCTCCAACCTCCCACCTTAAAACATGCAACTTTTCCTTATCCCCCATCCGTAGTTAATCCTGCTGTTTAGAATACTTCCACACCCTCAGTTGCAGAACACCACACCCCCGTCTGCATTAACCTTAGAGAGCCCACCTAGTTCCTATCACAGAAGCAGTATCCCATCCCCCAAGCTGCTCTCACAGACCTAAAGCCTATCATTTTTCACCTCCTTGCCAGTCACCTACTCTGCCCAACAAACTCCCCTTTTAACACACCAGTTCTACCTGTTAAAAAGCCAGATGGAACTTAATTAGTCCAGGACCTCAGGCTCATTAACCAAGCTGTATTCCCAGTATGTCAGTGGTTCCTAACCCATATACTTTCCTTTCTGCAATTCCCTCCAATACCACCCATTTTTTTGTTCTAAACCTAAAGGATGCTTTTTTTTCACAATTCCTTTACACACTGATTCCCAAAACCTCTTTGCTTTTATGTGGGAAAACCCTGACACCCACTTTTCACATTAGCTCACCTGGTGCGTACTACCTCAAGGTTTCAGAGACAGCCCCCACCTTTTTGGAAAGGCCCTTGCTCACAATCTCTGTATCTTATCCCTAGAACTGTCCACTCTCCTTCAATATGTTGATGATCTGCTTCTGTGTAGCCCCTCTCAAAGAGACTGCCACACCCATACTATCTCTCTTTTAAACTTCTTGGCAGAACAGGGGTATTGGGTATCCCCTAAGAAAGCACAAATATTCACTCCCTCAGTCACCTATCTAGGCCTAGCTCTTACCCCGCAAACCCGAGGGCTCACAACCAACCACATATCCCTCCTCCAGTCCCTCTTGCCTCCGCAAACTAAACAAGAAATTCTCTCTTTTCTAGGACTAGCAGGATATTTTAAGTTCTGGGTTCCCTCCTTTGCTCTACTTGCCAAACCATTGTACTAAGCTGCTAAAGGCCCTCTCCATGAGCCTTTAAAACCTGCACAGCCTATTACCCAACCTTTCCATCTACTCCAAAAGGCTCTCATCTCAGCGCCCATCCTCACTCTCCCAGACCTCACCAAACCTTTCTCCCTCTATACCTACAAATGGCATGGAGTTGCACTAGGTGTTCTAACCCAGTCTAAGGGTTAATTAGTCCAGGACCTCAGGCTCATTAACCAAGCTGTATTCTCAGCATGTCAGTGGTTCCTAACCCATATACTTTCCTTTCTGCAATTCCCTCCAATACCACCCATTTTTCTGTTCTAAACCTAAAGGATGCTTTTTTTCACAATTCCTTTACACCCTGATTCCCAAAACCTCTTTGCCTTTACGTGGGAAAACTCTGACACCCACCTTTCATGTTAGCTCACCTGGTGCGTACTACCTCAAGGTTTCAGAGACAGCCCCCACCCTCTGGGTTGTTGCCTACTCTCTAAACAGCTTGAAGCCACAGTTCTTGGATGGCCTACCTGCCTCTGAGCATTGGTGGCAGCCGCTGTCCTCACCCTTGAAAGCCTAAAACTATCTCTCCATGCCAACCTAACAGTTTATTCAACCCATAACATCAACGACATGCTAGCTCACCACAGTGTACTAAGTCTCATCTCTGCCCCACGGCTCCTGCAGCTGTATGCTCTATTCATAGAAACTCCCCACATCACCATGCTAACCAGCTCCTGTCTAAACCCAGCCATGCTCTTACCTGAAGCTACAACCACCCAAGACCCTACACACTTCTGTGTGAACACTGTTCAAATCTTTCTTATGCCTTTTCCAAACCTAACCTTCCAGATATCTCCTTTACTTGGTTTGTATATGGCAGCTCCATCCGACATCAAGGATGCTGACAGGCTGGCTATGCTATAGTGTCACTCCCTCACACTACTGAAGCCAATCTGCTCCTCCTAGGCACCACCTCCCAAAATGCTGAACTCACTGCCCTCACTTGTGCTCTTGCTCTAGCAGCCAGACAACAGATCAACATATATTCAAATTCTCATTATGTGTTCCACATATTGCACTCACACTCATCCATCTGGAAAGAACGGGGTTTCCTAACTGCAAAAAACACTCCTGTCGTAAATGGCTCTCTCATCAGCAAGCTCCTTCAAACTGCCAGGCTCCCACAGAAAGTTGCCATCATTCATTGCACGGGCCACCAATCCCCAGACAATCCTATATCAACTGGAAATGCACTAGCAGATCAGGTAGCCAAACAAGTAGCCCTACAACCCGTGCAAGGCCAGTTTCTGTCTCTGTCCTTGTTCTCTCCACTTTACTTCTCAGAAGAAAAGGAGGACTTCCGAGCCCAAAACCTTCAAAGGCAGGGACCATGGTATGTCAAGGAAGGGTGCTTCGTTCTTCTTCACTCTCAAATAATCTCTATCCTCCAAAGCCTCCACAACTCTTTCCATGTTGGTTACAAACCTCTCCTGCAACTTCTCTGCGCTATTCTCACTTGTGCTCACCTTTCCAGCCGTGTTCGAGAAATTACCCAGTTCTGCTCTATCTGCCACTCAGTGTCACCCCAGGGCTCCCTCTGGCTACTGCCTTTTTCCTACCCACCAAGCCTGGGGCCAGGTACCCGGGCAAGATTGGCAAGTAGATTTCACTCACATGCTGCCCGATAAACGGCTCTGCTATCTTCTAGTCTTTGTCTGTACTTTCTTCGGGTGGGTAGAAGCGTTCCCAGCAACTTCAGAAGGTGCAAATGTCCTCACACAAACCCTCGTCATGTATATAATTCCCTGTTTTGGACTCCCAACATCCATCCAGTCCAATAACGGGCCCACCTTCATCAGCCAAATTACCCAAGACATCTCTACATCCTTAGGAATAAAGTGGGTTCTCCGCACACCCTACAGGCCTCAATCTTCAGGCAAAGTTGAAAAAAATTAACTCTGTCCTTAAAGCGCAACTCACCAAGCTGACTCTAGAAACCCGCCAGTCATGGACAAAACATCTCCTTTTCGCCCTCATAAGACTCTGCGCAACACCAAAAGCACCCTCTTTTTATAGTCCCTTTAAAATCATGCATGGCTGAACTTTTGTCTTAGGGCCTCCACCCTTACCAGACTCTGAGCCACTCGGGAATTACCTCCCCTCCTTAATCCAGACATGGTCTTTCGTTCGTGAAGCAGCAAAAGAGGCCGTGCCTCTCCCTGTTGACACCTCCTTGTCCTCTCAACATAACTGTCTTGCAGGCACAGACATGTTTATCTGCCAATCCGACCCTCACCAAAAGCTACAACCGAAGTGGACAGGCCCTGACACTGTGATACTCAGCATGCCAACTGCAATGAGAGTCCAAGGACTCCCCACCTGGTAGCCCCAAGGCTACTACTTCCTCCAAAACATTAACAGCAGGCAACACCCTCGGAGTCCCTGTATATAATAACCTAAACAAAGAAAAATGATCCTTAAAGGTAGGAGGAAGCCAAAGATGGCAAGAGGATGAATGGCCTCTGCAACAGATCATCGAATATTATGGTCCTGTCACTTGGGCTGAGGATGGTTCATGGGGTTGTCACCCTTCTATATATATGCTAAATAGAATAATTAGACTACAGGCTGTTCCAGAGATAATCACTAACCAAACCACCTTAGCCCTGGAAATGCTCACACAACAACAAAACCAAATGCGTGCAGCAGTTTATCAAAACAGGCTAGCACTAGACTGCTTATTAGCAGAAGAGGGTGGGGCCTGTGGCAAGTTTAATATCTCCAATTGTTGTCTTAACATAGACAATAACGGAGAAGCAGTACTAGAAATCGCTTCAAACATCAGAAAAGTAGCCCATATACCAGTCCAAACCTGGAAGGGATGGGACCCAACAAACCTTCTAGGATGGTGGTTTTTTAATTTAGGAGAATTTAAAACGCTGGTAGGGACGGTAATCTTCATCATTGGGTTCCTCCTGTTTCTCCCCTATATTATTCCACTAATAATAAAAGCCATTAAAACTCTTGTTGAAACTACAGTTAGCTGCCAGACAATCCAGACGATGCTCCTGCTACAATGACACCATGGATACCAACCCATCTCTCAAGAATATCCCCCAAAATTAAGGTTTTCTTTTTCCAAGGTGCCACCCCCTATGTCGGGCCTGAAGTAGTTATTGAGAAAGTCGCCCCTTTTCCCTTTTTTCTATAACCAAATAGACAGGAATGGAAGATTCTCCCCAGGGCCTGAAAGCTTGAAGGGATGAGTAACTCCTCCCTTCTCAGGCCCAGTCCCAAGGTGCAATGCTACTTGTGCCAGCAGTGTGTGCCAGCAAGATAGCAGAAGCAGGAAGAGAGCCGGCCGGAAGACACCTACCCTGGCCGGAAGACAAGTATCCCTGAAGATCGAGAAAGCCGGAAGCCACCTACCCTGGCCAGAAGACACGTATCCCTGAAGATTGAGACAGAGGCCGTCTGGGTACTATGTAGCAGTCACGTCAGACTGGGACATTTCCTGTTTACAGGAGACCATAAAATCCGTGCCCTGTCCTCATTTGGTGCTGACGCCATTTTAGGCCTCAGCCTGTCTGCACCCAGGCGCTCATTAAAACAGCATGTTGCTCCACACCCCTCATGTTTTCTGTTGGCGTGCTCTCGGGGTTTGAACCAGTACAAGAACCTTACAAACACTATGGAGATTTCTCTAATAAATGAAAAACAGTATTACCAATCAATTCAGCAATCTCACTACTGGGTATATATTCAAAGAGAAAGAAATCATTATATCAAAAACATACCTGCATTCATGTGTTTATCACAGCACTATTCACAATAGCAAAGATACAGAATCAACCTTGGTGTCTATCAATGAAGGATTGGGTAAAGAAGATGTGATACGTATTTATACCATTTATACTACTCAGCCATAGAAAAGAATGAAATCATATATTTTGCAGCTACATGGAGAGAAATGCAGGCCATTATCCTAAGTGAAATAACTCAGAAAGAGAAAGTCAAATACCTCACGTTCTTACTTATAAGTGGGAACTAAACAATGGGTAGGCATGCACATACAGAGTGAAGTAATAGACACTGGAAACTACAAATAGGGTGAGATGGGAGTGAGAGTTGAAAAACTACTTATTGGGTACAATGTTCACTCTTTGGTCAATGGGTACACTAAAAGCCCAGACTTCACCACTATGCAGTATATGCATGTAGGAAAGCTGCACTTGTACTCCCTAAATATATAAAAATAAAAAATAAAATAAAATGTATTAGTAAACATCAATGAAAATTTTAAAATAGAAAAACAAATACAAAATAATAACAATTTACTTGTAACTTCTGCTTATCAGGCCACTTGAATCTTTGCTTCTTGGTTGTAAATCTCAAACATGGCCCAAATAAATTCTAATTTTTTAAGTTTGCTTCAGTTTTTTCCTTTAGGTCAACAGGTAGCAAGCAGCTAAGGATACCACTCCAATGAAATTAGCTCTTTATGAGTATAATTAGAGCATGGGAATGAGGATAACAACAAAAGAAAGCCTAATGATGCAAAAGAGAGGATTATTGATAGGAGTGATTTAATGATTATATGTTGGAGATGCTGGATAGGTGTGCTGGTCAAGTTACTTAGAAGGCTCATGCTAATTTTCAGGTATACTAAAACCCCAAGTACATCCTATGGTTGAGTTTTTCTAAATTTTTGCTTTGTGAATGTTTATGCCTTTGTCAATTTTATACGCTGAAATTATGATAAAAATCTTAATTTTAATGGAGGTACTGCAGTGTATTTGTATAATCTTTTACATTTATATAAAATAAACTATATATTCAAATACATATATACACACATACATACTTATGTGGGATTTAAAGTGGTATGAGATTTTAAAAATGCATTGCACACTGGCAAATGTATATATTAAATTTTGGCCCTAGTTTTACAAGGTACTGTATTTTTTTCAATAAATAGCCTTAATTAAATTTAATCTGCCAATTTGTATATAGGAAAATTGTATAATATATTCATATTAAACAGAATTAGTTGATTATATTAAATAATCATAAATGTAGATAGAAACATGTAGATGCATTGTTATACGTTAAGTACTTTTCCAGAATGTTCACATTTACTTTACAGTTCACACTGTTGCAGTTATAGTTAATGAAGTAATAAAATGATATGTAAATTGCTTCACCTTTTCACCTACTTATATGGGAAAAAAATTGCTTGAGTAATAACATTTAGGAAAGATATCTAGAAGCACTGCAAGTAACTTGTACTTGTATTTGTGTTTTTCCTTATTTGTCTCTTTTATCTCATTCCCATGTGAGATGAATGAAAGGATTTCCCTGAAACGAGCAGGTATACAGGAGAGCATAAAGGGCTTATGCAACTAAATGCTTCACCCCTTGACCTTTCATTTTCATCATTAAAGACTTATTCCTTTGGGTCTCAAAGATTTCAACTACAAGGGAAACTTATTGAAATGCAAATATTCCTGGGAGAAATAACATCTTAAAATGTAATCTGCTGATTTTTTAAGCAATTAGTTAACTGCAGGTGAGAGAAGAAGAGAAGCGAAGAATAGGCTTTAGAGGTAGAAGGTGAGAACAATGGACAGGAGAAAAGAATGTTAGAGGCACCAAATGTAAAATATACCCAAATTTTATTTAAAGTCAATCAACTCATTTAAAAAGTTTTAGATTTTTCCTTATATGTGAAAACTGCAGACTACAAAGGCTAGCATATAATTGTGTGTATGTCCACAACCTGGTATTCTCATTATGAAATACTTGCTATTCAAACGAATAGTAAAAGGGTTTTCTTATTATGAAAACTTTCAGATTCTAAAAGTGTTAATTTCTTGAGAATTTTTTTGGTAACCTGTGTCTTTTATACTCTGTACCCTGGCTTAGAATTTCTTCAGCCTAAAATATAACTGAACATCCAGCTTTGAGGACAAAGCACAAAAAAGGAGAGCTTCAGGGAACTGTAAAGTGCAGCAGAGATCATGGAGTAGAAGGAGCTCGGGAAAGAAACTTCACAAATTTGTTTATGATCCCCTGAGCTCACTCTTGAGAAGTACATGGGATGACTGGACCTAAAAAGCATGCCAAAGGCTTTGAGAACTGATCTCATGGAGAGAGTATTGTTAGTCCCAGACAGGCAACTGAGTGGTATTTACACAGGATAGTTTTTAATAGCATTACAATGACGTTAAAACTGAACTGATATTAAAATCACAGCACACGCTTGAAGGATCTGAACATAATCTTGTTAATTGCCAACCCAAACGAAAATGCCAACATTTCCCCTACTTAACAAGATTTAAACAAGATGCAAGGTCTTAAACAAAATACTGAAAATGTCAGCTGGGCGCGGTGGCTCATGCCTGTAATCCCAGCACCTTGGGAGGCCGAGACGGGTGGATCACGATGTCAGGAGATCAAGACCATCCTGGCTAACATGGTGAAACCCTGTCTCTACTAAAAAATACAAAAAATTAGCCAGGCATGGTGGCGGGTGCCTGTAGTCCCAGCTACTCGGGAGGCTGAGGCAGGAGAATGGCGGGAACCCGGGAGGCAGAACTTGCAGTGAGCCGAGATTGCGCCACTCACTCCAGCCTGGGGGACAGAGTGGGACTCCATCTTAAAAAAAAAAAGAAAAAAAAAAGAAAATGTCTAAGATAGAATACAAAGTTAGTGAGCATTTGAAGAATCAGGAATATCTTAGCTCACAACAAAAAAGACTATAAACAGATGCCAACTCTAACACAAAACAGATATTGAAATTACTTGACAAAAGATGTAAAGGACCTATTATCAAAATGTTGCAGCAAATAATAGTGAGCACTCTTGAAATAAGTGGATAGGTAGAAAGTCTCAACAGATAAATAGAAGATATAAAGAAAAACTCAATGAAAAATTTAGATCTAAAATATAACTGAAAATTAAAAGCTCAACAGCAGAATGGAAATAACAGTGGGGCTAGTGAATTTGAAGATAGATTAATAAATATTACCTATATTTCTAAGTAATTCAAGGTCAAAAAGTCTCAAGAAAAAAATTTGGACTAAGTGAAAATGAAAATACGATATATTAAAACTTGTTGGATGCAGCCAAATCAGTGTTTAGGGGGAAATTTATAGCATTCAGTACTTAATCCTAAAACAAAATCTCAAATCAGTAGTATAGATTTCCACATTAAGAAACTGGAAAGAAGACAAACAACAACAACAAAATAAAACCAATTTAGCAAAAGGAAGCAGATAATAAAGAATAGAAATACAATTTAAATCAGTAAAAATATAGAAAGTAAAAATATAGTCATTGGAAAGTCAATAAAATTGATACAACTTCATCAAAACTGCAGAATAATAAAAAAGGAGAAGATACAAATGACAACATCAGAAATAAAAGAGGTCAATGGCCAGTTGCAGTGGCTCACACCTGTAATCCCAGCACTTTGGGAGGCCAAGGCTGGAGGACCCCTTGATCCCAGGAGTTTGAGACCACCCCCAGCAATATCATGAGACCCAGTCTCCACAAAAAAAAAAAAAAAAAAAAAAAGGGCCGGGTGTGGTGGCTCACTCCTGTAATCCCAGCACTTTGGGAGGCTGAGGCAGGAGGATCACAAGGTCAGGCGATGGAGATCATCCTGGCTAACATGGTGAAACCCCGTCTCTACTAAAAATACAAAAATTTAGCCGGGCGTGGTGGCGGACGCCTGTAGTCCCAGCTACTCCGGAGGCTGAGGCAGGAGAATGGTATGAACCCGAGAGGCGGAGCTTGCCGTGAGCCCAGATCGCGCCACTGCACTCTAGCTTGGACAGAAAGAGACTTTGTCTCAAAAAAAAATAATAATAAAATAAAATTATCTGGGCATGATGATGCACGACTGTAGTCCCAGCTGCTTAGGAGACTGAGGTGGGAGGATCACTTGAGCCCAAGAGGTTAAGGCTGCAGTGAGCCATGATTGCACCACTGCATTCTAGCCTGGGAAACAGAGTGAGACCCCATCTCAAAAAGAAAACAAACAAACAAACATACAAACAAAAAGCGAAAAAGAAAAGAAGTAAAAGAGGGAATATCACCACCTACCCCCAGCACATTAAAGAATATTGAGGGAATATTCCAAACAACTTATGCATATAAATTTGCATGAAATGGACTAATTCTTCACAAGTCAAAACCTGCTAACATCATCCAAGGTGAAACAGACAGTACAAAAGGTACTGTAATTACTACAACAATTGAATTAATGATTAAAAACCTTTCAAAAAAGAAAACTCCAGGCCAAATCGAGACCATCCTGGCTAACACAGTGAAACGCCGTCTCTACTAAAAATAGAAAAAATTAGCCAGGCGGGTGGCGGGCGCTGGCTCGGGAGGCTGAGCCGGGAGAATGGCGCGAACCCGGGGGGCGGAGCTTGCAGTGAGCCTTGATTGCACCACTGCACTCCAGCCTGGGTGACAGAGCCAGACTCCATCAAGAAGAAAGAAAGAGAGAGAGAGAGAGAGGGAGGGAGGGAGGGAGGGAGAGAGAGAGAGAGACCAATACAGTGAGTCACACACAAGTTTGAAATTTATTTCTCTCTTACTTGCCTGCAGAACATGTAAGCATTTTCTCTCCATGTCATCCAGGGACCCAGGTTCTCTTTTTCTTCTTGTTCTATGATTCTCTAGGATTTTGGAATGGCCATTTTCTGCTGGTAAGGTTTTGGAGAATAAGGATTTGCTTTAGGACTTATTTAAAGGTAAACAAACAAACAAACAAAACAAAACACCACACACACACACACACACAGGTTTTGGTAGGCCAGGCTGTGCTGCTTTTGAAAGTGCAATCGCTTCAGAACCTCTTTGCTTCTAGTAAATTTCATATTAGTGCCCCAAACCAAAGATTCAATCTAGACAGATTTTTAAGCCTTTCAACTCACATTTATTAAATGAACTCCACAAAATCAGCTCAGCTCATTTCCCTGTCTCATTTTAAATGCAGCTACTGGATCACACACACACACACACACACACACACACACACACACACACACACACGAATTAAAAAAAAAAAAACCTTAAATAAGAAGGCAATAGTCTTAATCTGATTTTTGAAACTGTGCTACCTCGAACTGTTTGGTTTAAAGTGACAATTGTCTCCTGTTAAGGCAGTTGGCTTTTCCAACCCAATAAGGCCTCAAGCTATTAGACTCTGAGTCAATTAGACAACAGACTCAGGCAGAGAAAGCCTTCCTTGGCACAACTGTTATCTCTTCTATCTCTGCTAGTCAGCTAGCTAATGCCTGCCTGACTTCAACCCTCTCCACTACAACGGTCAAGGTACCTCTGGGTGGTTATTAATTAAGCATATGTTTAATTAATGTTCTTGTCAAACATGCTGTACCCCATACAAGTGAATAGGGCTGGAAAGTTGACTTTTGGCTTTTTCGTTTCCTTTGCTCTGACTGCTTAACATTCTGCTCAATCATCAACTACCCCTACACTGAAAATTCAGAATATAATGTTATAATTCTATCCCTTTTTCTATACCCTCCTCAATTTGTTTTTTAACCAAGCTTTTCACCATTTTCTCTCTTTTTAAAAATTTCCCTCATGTGTTCTCTAAGAAAGATTTTGTGATCCTAAGGCTTGTGAGCTCACAATTAGAATTAAGATTAACCTTGCTGTTTTTGGATCATGATATACTCTTCTCAGCCATTAGCCCTGAACCTCTTAGTGTTAAACTCTGATGACTCTAATGTTGCATATACTTAAAATATGTTTAGCTCTGGAGAGGTCTTCTAGAGCTCCCCATAAGCTATCACTAGGCTTAAGAGGGAGATTCATTTCATAAGGAATGATGCTGCCTACAATTTAGGAGGCCCTGATAAATATCTGCTGACTACATAATGGGAGCTACATATGTATTTATGAGATTGATTAACTATTATTTTATTTTCCTGACTTTAATGAGGGCTTGTTGGTACAAGGCCTCATTCTATCAATAAGTAGTTTAAATGCTTTGACGTATTTAACCTTCAAAACAATCAAACAAACTAGGTGTTATCATTTTCCCCATTTTCCTAATGAAGCGGAGAGAGATTAAGTAATTAACCTCAGGTCACAAGTGGCAGAGCTGGGATTCAATCCAACAATCTGGCTCCAGAGTCCGTACAGTTAACCATGACATTCACCCAAATAACTCTACAAACACAAAATCTATATTCTTTAAGAAAAAAAAAAAGACAATTCTGTTATAATATATTTTCCAGAGTATTCTACCATATCAGGCAAATAATTCAACATTTATTCTATAGTGTGGCATTTGTTAAATAACTAGTCTCACAACAGACTATTAAATGTATGCATTTGTATTGAGGGAAAATTAAAGAACTGATTTGTGTAGGGAATTTTTATTCCTTTTGGAAAATCCTTTGTTAAAAGATCTCTAAGTGATTAATTTTTTAAATTTGCATAACACAGATTCACAAAATAAATTGGGTTAATTTTCAGGTGTGAAAACCCTCTGGGAATTGGTGGTTTTTCTTGATGTAGCAAATATCTTGATCACAGAGACTAACATTTCAAATAACATCCCTGCTTTCACAATCATGGGGCCTTATTTTATAAAGCCAATAGGATGTAATTACATTAGAGGTGTTATTTTTAAAAATACCAACAAAATTAATTTATGCTTCAGAGGGCTATGGGGAATTTCACATTTGTGTGTAGCCACACACAGAACTTTAAACAGTAATATGAAACCATTCTAAAAGTTGGATAGTACCAAAACCTTACAAAATGATAATAAGAACTAGTTTTGTCACATATTTTAAGCAACCAACAAAGAAAGCATTCCACCTTTGTCTTTGTAATCCAGCCTTTACAGCTTTTTACTAGATACTGTATAAGCCCTTATGGAATGAATTTTAAATCCTGCATTAGTTTTTTATTGCTGTGGTAACAAATTACCACACATTTGGTGGCTTAAAACAACACAAACTTATTATCTTAGAGATTTAGGGGTCAAAGTTTAAAATCAGACTGACTTGGGCAGGACTGGTTGGCAGGTCTGGTTTTTTCCAGAGGTTTTAGGGAGAATTCGTTCTTTGCTTCTTCCAGCTTCTGCAGGCTACCAGCATTCTTTGATTCATGGCTACATCATTCCACCCTCTGCTTCCATCATTGACTTTTCTTACTTGGAGCCTCTTGCCTCCCTGCTATGTGGACCCTTTTGATTATGCTGAGCACACTAAGATAATCCAGAATAACCTCCTCATCTCAAGATCCTTAATTTAATCACATCAACAAAATTTATTCAGCCATATAAAGTAAGATATTCACACACTCTAGAGATTAGAGTGTTGACACCTTTGCCAGATCATTATTTTGTCTACCACAAAAAATGCTAACCTATTTTTTGTATTTTATTATATGCTACCCTCATTTTATCTAATCCTTCATTTTCACCTGTTGAATAGTACTACTGTCAGTAACATAAAAACAACATTTTTGAAATATAAATTAATTAGTTAAAGCAGTCCATCTATTTGTGCATCATTATTATGGTCTGGTAAGTTTACTGGGTGTCGTCCACTTTACTGTCTTGTCATCCTTGAAACTATTTTCTACAGCCAAGAGTTGGATTAATTGACTCTATAATTTTAAAAATAGTATAAAACACTTACCTTTAATTGTTTTGCATTCATCTCTTTCACTCTCTCTTTTTTTGTTTTAGGATATGGAGTCTCCCTCTGTCCTCCAGGCTGGAGTGCAGTTTTGCAGTCATAACTCACTGCAGCCTTGAACTCCTGGTCTTAAGAGCTCCCCTTGCCTGAGGCCTCCTCAGTAGCAGGGACTACAGGAATTAGCCACTGTGCCCACCTAATTAAATTTTTTAATTTTATGATTATTAGTATTAGTATTAGTGTTTTTGTAGAGATAGGGTCTCTCTATGTTGCTCAGGCTGTTCTCAAACTCCTGGACTCTAGACATTCCCCTGTCTCAGCCTCCAAAGTAGCTGGGATTATAGGTGCGGGCACTGCCCCGGCTCATCTCTTCTTTTCTAGAGACCTTATGTTTATATATTTAGTTAATTTTAACAAGACTTCTTAGTTAATATTTTGATTTTAAGTGCATATAAGAAAGCAATGTCTTTAAAAGCTGCCAGAGAGAAAGTATAACATAGACTTCAGAGCTAAATAAAAAGTAGGTTTTAAAAGATGTCAATAAATACATTTCCAAATGACAGAATGGTTTGAGGCTGTGGGATGATAACAAATCCGGGTTGAATAACAAATGGCAGAGACGTTGTGTGATGCTCATATCAGGGGTGAGTGTGACTCTAGGTTCATGTCATTTATATGTCCATTAATGAAATTTTAAGACCTTTTTAAATTCCCACGAAACTACAAAGAAAAAGAACAAGTAGTTTTGTTATTTTACAGTGGATCATCCTATGGTAACAATTAATGCTTCATAAAGAGACACTGTGGTACAGATGAGGAGCAGGATCTTGTTTATTGCCTTGTCAAGGAACAAATCTTTACAAAAATAAAGGAATTGGCTGTTCTTACAATCTTCGGCTGCTGTAGGTATTTTGATTTGTTTTGGGAGGTGGTGATGGTGTGAATTTTAAGAGATCTTTCTGAGAAGAATAAAAGGATGTGACTATAATTACCAAGCGAGTGGAAGAAAAAGGATACCTGGTAAATTAGTGAGCCTTTGAACACTACTTTCTATCCACTGGGCTGAGAAATGAACAGTTTGGAAAGAGGCTGGGAAAATGCAAGATTTTAGTTCAGCAAATGTTGAGATCAGAAATAATTGGATAATGCATGAAATTATGAACTGTTTACCTGACGTTTAAGCATATGGTAATACACACTGTGAGTGAAGAGTCTGGATTTTGATGAAATTAATAACTTTTTGGTGTTCTGCCATCTGTTTTCTCATTATACCTGAAAAAAATCACTCTAAAAAGCATTTACTGAGTGTTTATCATGTGTCAGACACTGTGCCAGTGCCTAAGTCAACTAAAATAATAACCTGCTTTTCTGGGGTTTATAATCAATTAGAAAAAGACAGGTGTATACATGAATAACTGCTGTTTCAGGTTAAAATGGGTTGAAATTCCACCCTAGAATTTTTCCCCTTCCCCTGCACCTCACAATATGGAACATGTAAACTGCAACAACAACAACAAAAATAATCAACAGAAACCAAATAAGGAAATTAGCATAAACTAGTGCAATAACTGAAAACTGGCCCTGATTAAAGAAAACGAGATTCTGGAGTGCAACAGGAAGGCTTAATAAAGCCTTAAATAATATAGATAAAACAACGAAATGCTATATTGTGGATTTTCACTAATACCCCCAAAGTTGGGGAAAAGCAAATAAGTGGATATCTGCATCTTTTTATTCTTCTTACCAGAAAGCAATAAAAACAATAGTTGGAAAGAAATAAGTGAAATTGAGAGACTGGGCTTGACTGGATATTTCTTAAGAAAATGAAGGCTCCACAGCTGCATACCCAGTTGGAGGAATAATCCAAAGTACAGGATACCCTCTGACCTGAGTAGATGGAGTGAATTCTAGTATAGTATATTTAACAAAATCTGAGAGAAGATAAAGTCCAAGCATTCCAACCAAGAGTACAAAGCTACCTCAACTGATCTTTATTCTCTTCTCCCCTTGGGCTGCAAAATTGTAGATGGAACAAGACCCATCCAGTACAGAAGGCTACCTAGTTGATACCAACATACAACAGATTGAGAATTACTAGTCTAAGGAAAAGAAAATGTAACTGCCCACCCCCCACCACCAAACCCGACCAAACCCAACCACAGCCAAAGTATTAATCTCACAAATGAGAAAACTCAGGGAAATTTATCCATTCCTGAATCAAAAGAAAGATGATAGAGAGGTAAAAATTTTGAAAATCTTCTGTGCACCCATTAACATACAGAACTACTGCTGGGAGAGGCCACAAAATTACTGACCTGTGAGCTTCCAAAAGATAATGGTTATGAAAGACGAAGACTAAGAATCTGTTAACGTTTAAAGGAGAATAAAATGACATAACAACTGAATTAAATGAAGAATCCTAGATTGTCCTGGAACAGAAAAAGACATTGGTGAGATAATTGATGAAATCTGAATGAAGTCTTAACTATTGCATCAATGTTAATTTTCTCTTTTTGATAATTGCACTGTGCTTATATAAGAAGATATCTCTGCTTTTCAGATGTATACACTGAAAAATTTAGAAGTAAAGAGAGCTTATGTTTGCATGAGGGCTTACTCTCATTTATTTCTGAAAAAAACTAGAGCGATAAAATGATAAAAAAAGTATAGTAAAATGTAACATTTGAAGAATCTAGATAATAGGGTAAATTGGAATTCCTTGTGCTTCTTTGTAGCTCTGAAATTATATCAAAATAAAAGTTAAAAGAGAAAAGTAAATATTAAAACTTGGACAATATTAAATTAATAATATAATAAAAAAATAGGTAGGCCAAGTGTGGTGGCTTACACCTTGATCCCAGCACTTTGAGAGGCTGTGGTGAGAGGATGACTTGAGGCCAGGAGTTTGAGACCAGCCTAGGCAACATAGTGAGACCCCATCCCTACAAAAAATAAGAAAAGAAAGGTAGAGTGGAAAAATAGATTGAAGTATAAAGATATTAAGGTCTTCATATTGCATAGCAGGAAGATAAAGCCATTTAAAATTTAAATGTACTTGTGAAAGAACCAGTCTGAGTCCAGTGTCTTAATGCTTTTTGTAAACTTGTTTTGTAAATGTAGAAGTCTTTTAAATGAGAATATTCTTATCTTGAGAAACAACTTACTGGAAGTTAAGTAGTTCCTTCAGGTGTTCTTTAGTTTCTTTTTTTCCATTAAAATCACATAAATAATATGTATAATATGATCCCATTTTAATAAAATGTCAGCCTACTTAGCCTCCTCATCCTATCTAGATATATACTTTGTATGATAGGGTTCATTTCCATGTAATAACATTTTAAATTTTTAAAAACATTCATCTCCATGATTTTCAGCACTATTTGAAATATTTACAATAAGCAGAATTTATTTTTACACAAAAGCAATTTTCTTTAAAAATATTAAAAACAAAAAGATTAAAACAAATAAATTAAAAATTCAAATGTGATAAATTGTGGGTGAAAGGAATATAGATGCTTGTTATTTGCTTCTTTATATTATTCTGTGTTGTTAAAATTTATCATATTTTAAACAAACTAGTTATTAACAAATACATAATACAATACGGTTTTACAGACATTGCCTTGGAAGGGTGTCTAGTGTCTAGTACAGTGGGATAAGGTACTGTACAATTCTTTTTTTTTTCTCCTTCATAGGTTATTGGAGAACAATAACCTATGTTATTGTTTGGTTATGTGTTATGTTATGTGTTTGGTTACATGACTAAGCTCTTTAGTGGTGATGTGTGAGATTTTGGTGTACCCATCAACGGAACAGTATTCACTGCACCCTATTGTTAGTTTTTTTATGGCTCACCCCCTTTCTTTCGTTTCCCCCTGAGTCCCCGAAGTCCATTGTGTCATTCTTATGCCTTTGCATCCTCATAGCTTAGCTCCCACTTATGAGTGAGAATATACAATGTTTGGTTTTCTATTCCTGAGTTTCTTCACTTAGAATAATAATCTCTAATCTCATATCCAGGTTACTGTGAATGCCATTAATTTATTCCTTTTTATGGCTGAGTAGTATTCCATCATATATATATGTGTATATATATATATATAATATATATATATATATATATATACATGATGTAGTGTGTGTGTTTGTGTGTGTGTGTGTATATATATATATGCTACAATTTCTTTATCCACTTGTTGATTGATGAGCATTTGGGTTGGTTCCACGTGTGTAATTATGAATTGTACTGCTATAAACATGCATGCAAGTATCTTTTTCATATAATGACTTCTTTTCCTCTGGGTAGATACCCAGTAGTGGGATTGCTGGATCAAATGGTAATTCTGGTTTTAGTTCTTTAAGGAATCTCTACCACTTCCACAGTGGTTGTACTAGTTTATGTTCATTCCCACCAGCAGTGTAGAAGTGTTTCCTGTTCACTGCATCCACACCAACATCTACTATTTTTTGATTATGGCCATTCTACCAGGCGTAAGCTAGTATCGCATTGTGGTTTTGATTTGCATTTCCCTGATCATTAGTGATGTTGAGCATTTTTTCATATGTTTGTTGGCCATTTGTATATCTTCTTTTGAGAATTGTCTATTCATGACCTTAGCCCGCTTTTTGATGGGACTGTTTGTTTTTTACTTGTTGATTTGTTTGAGTTAATTGTAGATTCTGGATATTAGTCCTTTTGTCGTATGTATAGATTGTGAAGATTTGTTTCCACTCTGTGGGTTGCCTGTTTACTCTGCTGACTGTTCCTTTTGCCGTGTAAAAGCTCCTTAGTTTAATTAAGTCCCAACAATTTATCCTCATTTTTAAGGCATTTGCTTTTGGGTTCTTGGTCATGAAATCCTTTCTTAAGTCAGTGTCTAGAAGGGTTTTTCCAATGTTGCCTTCTAGAATTTTTATAGTTTCATGTCTTAGATTTAAGTCCTTAATCCATCTTGAGTTAATTTTTATATAAGGTGATAGATGAGGATCCAGTTTCATTCTTCTACATGTGGCTAGCCAATTATTCCAGCACCATTTGTTGAATAGGATGTCCTTTCCCCATTTTAAGTTTTCATTTGCTTTGTGAAAGATCAGTTGGATATAAGTATTTGGGTTTATTTCTGGGTTGTCTATTCTGTTCCATTGGTCTATGTGCCTATTTTTATACCATTACCATGCTGTTTTGGTGACTATGGCCTTACAGTATAGTTTGAAATCAGGTAATGTGATGCCTCCAGATTTGCTCTTCTTGGTTAGTCTTGCTTTTTTTTTTTTTTTTTCCTCCATATGAATTTTAGAATTCTTTTTTTCTAATTCTGTGAAGAATGATATTGGTATTTTGATGAGAATTGCATTGAATTTGTAGATTGCTTTTGGCAGTGTGGTCATTTTCACAATATTGACTCTATCCATCCATGAGCATGGGATGTATTTCCATTTGTTTGTGTCATCTATGATTTCTTTCAGTAGTGTTTGGTGGTTTTCCTTGTAGAGATCTTTCACCTCCTTGGTTATGTATATTCCTAAGTATTTTATTTTATTTTTTTGCAGCTATTGTAAAAGGGGTTGAGTTTTTTATTTGATTCTCAGTTCGGTTGCTGTTGGCATATAGAAGGGCTACTGATTTGTGTACATTAATTCCGTATCTGGAAACTTTGATGAATTCTTTTATCAGTTCTAGGAGCTTTCTGGAAGAGTCTTTAGGGTTTTCTAGGTAAATGATCATATCATCAGCAAACAGTGACAGTTTGACTTCCTCTTTACCGATTTGTATGCTCTTTCTTTCTCTTGTCTGATTGCTCTGGCTAGGACTTCCAGTACTATGTTGAAGAGGAGTGGTGACAGTGGGCATCCTTGTCTTGTTCCAGTTCTGAGAGGGAATGCTTTCAACTTTTCCCCATTTAGTATTATATTGGCTGTGGGTTTGTCATAGATGGCTTTTATTATATTGAGATATGTTCTTTCAATGTGAGTTTTGCTGAGAGTTTTAATCATAAAGGGATGCTGGGTTTTGTCAAATGCTTTATCTGCATCTATTGAGATGATCATGTGATTTTTGTTTTTAATTCTGTTTATGTGGTGTATCACATTTATTCACTTGCATATTTAAACCATCCCTGCATCCTGTGTAATGAAACCCACTTGATCATACTGAATTATCTTTTTGTATGTTGTTGGATTTGGTTAGCTAGTATTTTGTTAGGGATTTTAGCAACTATGTTCATCAGGGATATTGGTCTGTAGTTTTCTTTTTTGATTATGTCCTTTCCTGGTTTGGGTATTAGGGTGATACTGGCTTCATAGAATGATTTAGGGAGGGTTCCCTCTTTCTCCATGTTGTGGAATAGTGCCAATAGGATTGGTACCAATTCTTCTTTGACTGTCTGGTAGCATTCTGCTGTGAATCCATTTGGTCCTGAACTTTTTGTTATAGGTAATTTTTTAATTACCATACAACCTCGCTGATTGTTATTGGTCTGTTCAGGGTATCTAATTCTTCCTGATTTAAGCTAGGAGGGTTGTAGCTTTCCAGGAATTTATTCATCTCTTCTAGATTTTCTAGTTTATGAGTGTAAAGGTATTCATCGTAGCCTTGAATGATCTTTTGTATTTCTGTGGTATCAGTTGTAATATCTCCTGTTTCATTTCTTATTGAGCTTATTTGGATTTTCTCTCTTTTCTTGGTTAATCTTGCTAATGGTCTGTCAGTTGTATTTATCTTTTCAAAGAACCAGCTTTTTGTTTTTATTCATCTTTTGTATTTTTTTTTCACTTTCATTTAGTTATTCTCTAATCTTGGTTATTTCCTTTCTTCTGCTGGGTTTGGGTTTTGTTTGTTCTTGTTTCTCTAGTTCCTTGAGGTGTGATCTTAGATTGTTTGTGCTCTCTCAGGCTTTTTGATAATGTAGGCCTTTTGGGCTATGAACTTTCCTCTTAGCACTGCCTTTGCTGTATCCCAGAGGTATTTGATAGGTTGTGTTGCTTATTGCCATTCAGTTCAAAGAATTTTTTAATTTCCATCTTGATTTCATTTTTGACCCAGTGATCATTCATGAGCAGGTTATTTAATTTCCATGTATTTACATGGTTTTGAAGGTTCCTTTTGGAATTGATTTCCAGTTTTATTCCACTGTGGTCTGAGAGAGTGCTTGATGTTATGCCAATTTTCTTAAATTTGTTGAGTTTCATTCTGTGGCCTATCATATGGTCTATCTTGCAGAAAGTTCCATTTGCTGTTGAATAGAATGTATATTCTGTGGTTGTTGGATGGAATGTTCTGTATATATCTGGTAACTCCATTTGTTCCTGGGCACAGTTTAAATTCATTGTTTGTTTGTTGACTTTTCTGTCTTGATAACTTGTCTAGTGCTGTCAGTGGAATATTAAAGTCCCCCACTATTATTGTGTTGCTGTCTATCTCATTTCTTAGGTCTATTAGTAATTGTTTTATACATTTGGGGACTCCAGTGTTAGGCATATATATATTTAGGATTGTGATATTTTCCTGTTGGACAAGGCCTTTTATCATTATATAATGTCCCTCTTTATTATTTTTTTTTTACTGCTATTGCTTTAAAGCTTGTTTTGTCTGATATAAAAATAGCTACTCCTGCTCACTTTTGGTGTCCATTTGCCTGAAATATCTTTTCCACCCCTTTACCTTAAGTTTGTGTGAGTCCTTATGTTTTAGTTGAGTCTCTCGAATGCAGCAGATGGTTGGTGATTTCTTATCCATTTTGCAATTCTGTGTATTATAATTGTAGCATTTAGGCCATTTACATTCAATGTTAGAATTGACATTTGAGGTGCCATTCAATTCATCCTACTATTTGTTGCCTGTATACCTTGGTTTTTTGTTTTTGTTTTTTAAATTGTATTTTTGTTTTATACATCCTGTGACATTTATGCTTCAAAGAGGTTCTGTTTTGATGTATTTCCAGGATTTGTTTCAAGATCTGGAGCTCCTTTTAGCGGTTCTTGTAGTGGTGGCTTCGTAGTGGCAGTTTCTCTCAGCATTTGCTTGTCTGAAAAAGACTATCTTTTCTTTATATATGAAGCTTAGTTTCACTGGATACAAAATTCTTGATTGATAATTGTTTTGTTTGAGGAGGCTGAAGATAGGACCCCAGTCCCTTCTAGCTTGTAGGGTTTCTGCTGAGAAATCTGCTGTTAATCTAATAGGTTTTCTTTTACAGGTTACCTGGTGCTTTTGTCCCACAGTTCTTAAGATTCTTTCCTTTGTCTTAACTTTAGATAACCTGGTGACAGTGTGCTAAGGCGATGATCTTTTTGCGATGAATTTCCAAGGTGTTCTTTATGCTTCTTGTATTTGGATGTCTAGATCTCTAGCAAGGCCAGGGAAGTTTTCCTCTATTATTCCCCCAAATGTGTTTTCCAAACTTATAGATTTCTCTTCTTTCTCAGTAATACCAAACATTTTTAGGTTTGGTCATTTAACATAGTCCCAGAATTCTTGGAGGCTTTATTCATATTTTCTTATTCTTTTTTTCTTTGTCTTTGTTGGACTGGGTTACTTTGAAGACTTTGTCTTCAAACTCTGAATTTCTTTCTTCCATTTGTTTAATTCTATTGCTGAGACTTTCCAGAGCATTTTGCATTTCTATAAGTGTGTCCATTGTTTCCTGAAATTTTGATTGTTTTTTATTTATGCTATCTATTTGCTTGAATAGTTCTCCCTTTACTTGTTGTACCATTTTTTGGATTTTCTTACATTGGGCTTTGCCTTTCTTTGGTGCCTCTGTGATTAGCTTAATAACTAACCTCCTGAATTCTTTTTCAGGTAAATCAGGGATTTCTTCTTGGTTTGGGTTCATTGCTGGTGAGCTAGTGTGATTTTTTGGAGGTGCTAGATAACATTGTTTTGTCATATTACCAGAGTTGGCTTTCTGGTTCCTTCTCATTTGGGTAGGCTCTGTCAGAGGGAAGGTCTAGGGCTGCAGGCTGTTGTTCATATTCTTTTGTCCAATGGGATGTTCCCTTGATGTTGTACTCTCCCCATTTTCCTATGGTTGTGGCTTCCTGAGAGCCGAGCTGTAGTAATTGCTATCTCTATACTGGATCTAGCCACCCAGCAAGTCTACCCAGCTCTGGGCTGGTACTGGAGGTTGTCTGCATAGAGTCCTGTGATGTGAACTGTCTGTGGGTCTCTCAGCCATGGATACCAGCACCTGTTCTGGTGGAGGTGGCAGGGGGGTGAAATGAACACTGTGAGGGTTCTTAGCTTTCATGGTTTAATGCACTATTTTTGTGTTGGTTGGCCTCCTGCCGGGAGGTGGCACTTTCCAGAGAACATCAGCTGTGGTACTGTGGGGAGGAGCAGGCAGTGGGCAGGGCCCTAGAACTCCCAAGAGTATCTGCCCTTTGTCTTCAGTTACCAGGCTGGGTAGGGAAAGACTACTGGATGAGGGCAGGGCTAGGCATGGCTAAGCTCAGACTCTCCTTGGGTGGGTCTTACTGAGGCTGTTGTGGGAGATGGGGGTGAGGTTCCCAGGTCAATAGAGTTAAGTTCCTAGGAAGATTATGACTGTCTCTACTGTGTCATGCAGGTTGTCAGGGAAGTAGGGGAAAGCTGGAAGTCACAGGCCTCACCCAGCTCCCATGCAATCTTGAGGGCCAGTTCACTCCCACCATGCCACCTCCAACAGCACCAAGTCTGTTTCCAGGCAGTGGGCGAGTAGGGCTGAGAACTTGCCTCAGGCCACCCGCCTCCCAGCTGCAAAAGCAAATATGGCTTTCCTTCTTCCCCGACCTGTGGAATCTGCACACTGGATTCACGCCCTCCCCCAAGTTCTGGCCAGGAGGCTTCTCAGTCGGTTCAAATTGTTACAATGTTCACATGGAAATTTCCTTTGTCCTGTGGCCTTTTCTCAGACCCTCTGGCCGTCCTCTTGAAGGACTCCTATGAGGCCAGGCAAAACCCACTTGATGGGGAACACAGCAAGCTCCCAGGACTTTTCCTGCTGCTTCCTCTACCCCTGTATTTCTCTCAGCTCTCTAAATGGACTCAGCTCCAGGTAAGGTCAAAATCTTCTCCAGTAATCTAGGCCTTCAGTTTCCCCAGTGGGGGTGTGTGTTCGGCAATGGATGATTTCCCTTTCCCACTTCCACAGTATGGGTACTCACAGTATTTGGGGTGTCTCCTGGGTCCTGCAGTAGCAATAGCCTTCCTTCAGGGGGTCTGTGAGCCTTCTCAGGTTTCCTGATTTATTCCTGCAGTTGCTCTGGAGCAAACATTCAAGACGTAAGCCTCCACACACTGCTCTGTCCACCCGAGTCGGAGATGCAATTTAGTCCTGCATCCCGTCCGCCATGATCCCTGAAACCTCAGCACTGCACAATTCTAATTGAAGGGCCAGGAAGCACTTCCAATAGATGGTGATCTCTTAGCTAAGCCTTGCAACATGAGAGGTGATGGGTGGATGGAGGTAAGAGGGCATGGAGAATGAAGAAAGAACCCTATGAGTGAAAGGCATTCTCTTGAAGTAACCTCATGTGCAAGCAGTGGGCTGGTTCACAGACCGTTGGGGTGGAAGAATGTGTAAAAGTGGAGGCGGGGTAAATTGGTGGCTGGGAGGGTGGTACAAAGTAAGTGATCAAAATAGAAAATTAGAAACAGGACTCTGGAGGGCTTGGTATGCCATATGAAAAGGTACAGACATTGTTCCATGAGCTAATGTGTTTATGATCAGGATTTTCTAGAAGAAAACTGCAGCTGGAGAGGCCTCCAGGAGATCAGTGGAGATGAGGACAGTCAGAGGGGTAAGCAGGGCTCCAATGCTTTATCCAGCTTCAACATGAGTAACTCCAAACTTATCTGTGTGGCATATTGAAGTTATATTTTAAGAATGGTTTTAGATCAACATGCTCCAGAATCCATACCTCCATGACCTCTAAGCTCTTGGGATAATTGAGACAGACAGTATTTGGTTTGCGGTTTCCTAGAATATATTATAGAACAGATTATACTCCCTGTGCTATGTTGTCACAGGGCTAAATCTGACATGAAGAGAGTTTTTTACAAACAGTTTGAAAGTGTTACACTATAACATTATTTTATGTCAATTCCATTTTCCTCTTACCACACTTTTTCAATCACTTGCATCAAAATAAAGGGAGAGATATTACTTAGGTGGTGGACAGAATCTTATGAGAGTATGGTAGTGGGAATATTCTGCTGATTCAGCCACCTTTGCTTTTTGTCCTGAGAGATTTGATATTCCAAATATGTTGTTTTCAAACTCCTCATTGTCCCCTGGTAATTTTTAGAAATAACTTAAATATGTGTACCAGAAATATGAATATATGTCCTCATCTTTCCTTAATTAGTATGGGAGGAAAGGAACAAAGGAAGAAATTGATTATTGTTGTTATCGGCCATTCCAAGCTATTCAGACTTTGGTAGCATGGAAGAAGAGTAGCAGATTTGACATTTGCTGTCTGATTTTTTATCAAGTCTACTTTAGAATTAGATGCTGAAAGATTATTAATATTTTAATAGTTTCCTGACACCTTCTTTCCCTTTTCACTTAATATGTGAACACCACATTTTATGACTATGAAAAGCCAAAGAAGGACTTTCAGTAGAGAAGAAACAGGACCAGATTTGTGTTTTCGAATCATTGTTCTGGCAGAATTGAGGAAGGTTTCTATGTTTTACAGGAATGATACTAAAGGCACAAAACACATTGCACCAAGATAATGAAAGCCTGAAATGGAAAAGCCTCTTCAGAAACATTTGCCAAATAAATGAACGAATAGGTGGGCAAATGAAAGCTTGAATTGAGACAATGGGAAAGGAATGTATTCAGATGCAAGGCTGCAAGGTATAGCAAAGAGGCAGGCTACGGGGGCACACAGACTAGATAGCGAAAGAAAGACGTGGGAGGGATCAGGGTAACCCCTGGGTTTCTGGCCAGGGCCACGGGACATTATAATTTTATATATACATTTAAGATAGGTAAATAGAGGAGGAAGGGAAAGAAAGATGATAAATTCTGTTCTTGCTAAGTTGCTTTTGAGACCTGGGGCCTGGGGTATCCAGGTAGTGGTGTTTAGTAGACTCTGGAGAGAGAATTGAAAGAGCCATCTGGACTGAAAAGAAATATCTAGGACTTACAACAATGGAAGGGGTAATTGAAGTCAATTATAGAGAAAGAAATCGCCCAGGGATAATGCATAGTGAGAAGAGGAGAAAAGAATGCCACAGAACACCAATTTTAAGGAGAAATCAGAGGATGAGGAGTCAACAGAGACTGAGCAGAGGGGCAGCATATTCTACTCCACCCTTATCACTGTGTTTACTTGTGTATGCATCTGTCTTCCTTTTGAGACTATGTCCTTTAAAGGGGAAAGCATTTCGTATTTTATTCCAAAAATCTAAAATAGTAGATGATAAAATAAATTTTTGCTACATAAGTTAATACGTATCTTTTCAGTATAAGACGTATTTTGATAACTTTATACAAGTTCTTTTCCTCTGTAATTGGTGGATGTACATGTTTATAACTTAGTAAAGTTATCCAATTTTGTGCAGCACTGCAGTAATTATAGTTATTACCCTTAAATAATTATGGCCAGAGAAATACTAGCCTAACATGGTTGAATTTTAGGAACATTGGCTCAAACAGTATGTGCAGATATCTTGAGACACCATGCATGCAATACCAAATAATCTCACAGTTTTTTTTTTCTGCTTTTATAAATCACCAGGAAGCCAAGACATCTCAGCAACAGCAACCTGACTATAGATGTAAAATACTCCTGCAGAGAATAGGAGAAGTATATGCTTTTCTTCTGTAAAGTTATTTAACATTCTGCACCACTCTTATACACTAATTTGCAGTTGAAGTAATAGCATTTCTACATAGGTATTTTGCATTAATGCAAATGTAGATTCTAATATTCAGGAAAATAATTTTATACTGTTAATATTATTTCTAGCTATAAGCTATTCTGACTGACACCAGCTGCCTATTGGGGTGATTTCGGGAGCATTCAAAGAGCCCTCTGCCCTCTCAAATATAGTTCTCCCCTGTTCTCTGACTCTTCTGATTTTCCTATCCTGTAAGATGTTATTAGATTTAAGGAGTACACTCTAAACACCCATTATAAAGAGGGCTTAGAAGCTTAATTTTTAAATAACAGGTTATGTGCAAATGTGAAATCTGGAAAATAGAACAATCTTACATTTGAGTACTGTTTGTAGTGAAAATTATTAGCTCTTATAATTAATCCTTTTTAATTATACAGGAAAATATATTTATTTGATCAATTGTTATAGCCTTTTGCAATTAATTCTCTAGATCACCCAAAGAGCAGGTTCTGACCATTGACTTGCAAGTTCTTTGAGGGTAGAAACTGCATCTTGATCGCCTTTATTTCCTGTCCTTGTCACTGTCAGTTAAAAGGGACTTGCATAGAGAGGAGAAAGAGGGAGGTAGATACACATATCACTGCCCTGAAGGGTATGATCTAGAGTAGGAAATGGGTAAAGACAAAGGAAGGAAGGAGAATCCAAAACTAATGAACTGTAAAAATATTTGATTGTATGAAACAAGATGATGATGGAAAAAAATAGAATAGGAAGGTTTCCTCCCTTTGAGAGACTGTTTCCAAGATTCTTCACCAGGAAGGAGGCTTTGTCATAGCCATGATGTTTGCTCCACAAGACATAGAGAGCAGCAGACAAAGAAGGTGGAAGCTCCAGGGAACCCTATAACTGATGTGTGCTGTTTTGAGAACAAAATACCTTCTCTTTGGAGTTCTGGCTTTAGAGGAAATTGATAGAACTAAAAGTACATTTGACATGTTCATTACTCAGGGAAATTAATCCATTATGGCAATTAGTGCACTCTTTTTGCACACTGAGGTCTAAATACCAACTGAAAGAAGTTATAAAGATGTGATGTTAATGAGTGTTGTGAGGTTGTCTTTTCTCAAAGAAAACTGAGTACATGAATTTAATAAAAATATTCAGCTCCCTCAAAAGTAGAAAGAATGTCTGAACAAGACCAGGCTTTTATCCCATCGAAAAAGGATCACATACAACCAAGTTTCACTAAACCTTTTAAAATGGCTATCATTTTTAATGCAGCAGACGTGGATAGCAGAACAGTATACTTTTGAAATGAGGATTAAGTCATCTCAATAAATTGTAAACCAAATATATAAAGTAATGTTTCAAATACATAAATTAGAATTTCATTATATAAAGTAGCATTTTATTTACAGAAAAATTTTAAAAACATTAAAATGTAAATGTGATCTTACATGTCAAGGTATATAAACTGTAAAGTAATACACATTGCAATATTTATCTTCCTAAAGTTTTACATACCATGTACCTACAGTGGGTCACCAGTCGGTGGCAATACATTTCTTTACTATGTCCAGAAATGAGTTGAGGGGGTAGATGATAACATTACATATAAATATACATTACATATATACATGTATGCAATGGAGATAAAAAAGACTTTACTAATTCAACTTTTTATAGGCAAAATATTAGAATAGAGTTATGTAAATTATACATTTACATATTGTAAGCAAATAGCAAATAGAGCATTCTCTCCTAGCATAAGGTTATGCTTAAAACATTAACATTTAAATTGCATGAATTTTAATAATGTCTCCGAACAATGTGTTTTCTGGCATTTATTCAGAAACTGAGTAATACACACTAAAACTTGTTCTGGTCTAAAGCTTTTTGAGGACTCTCTTGCCCTGTGTACTGATGGCTTCTGAAGTCCATCTGATAAAGGACCGAATAATATGCTAAAGTCAAACACTGAATATTAGCCCACTGTAATTTCTTAATTTTTTAAATTGAGTATAATACACATAGAGGAAGGTGCACATATAAATGCAGGGCTTAGTGAATTTTTGCAAATTTAATAAACCCATTCACAGATCAAATTGTACACAGATCAAATTGTACACAGATCAAACAATAGAAAATCACCAGCACCATAAAAATCCCATTCTTGCCTCCAGTCACTATGTCCCAACTCCAAAGGGTAACCCCTATCCTGACTTCTAACGACATGGTTTAGCTTTTCTTGGTTTTGCTTTTCCTTTTTATATATCTTATAGAACTAGAATTCCACAATGTATGTATTCTTTTGTGTTTGTTTTTTTTTTACTTAACATGATGGGAGTGAGAGTCATCCATAATATTACATTTAATTGTAGGCCATTCATCCTTATTGTTAAATTCTTTTGTGTGAACATATCATACTTTATCTGTCAACTATTGATGATCTTTTGTGTAATTTCCAGTTTGAAGCTGTTTTGAATAGTGCTGCTATGAACATTCTAGGACACATCTTTTGGTGAATATGAGTATGCATTTGTTTGTTCTATACCTCAGAGTGAAATTGCTGGGTCATAGGATATACCTTCAGCTTTAGTATAACAAATACTGCCAAACCGCTTTCCAAAGTGGTTGTGCTCCACCCTAATTAAAATATATATATATGTATTTATTTAAGAGACTGGGTTCTCACTATGTTGCCCAGGCTGTTCTCAAACCCCTGAGCTCAAATGGTCCTCCTGTCTTATCCTCCCTAAAGAATGGGATTACAGGTATGAGCCACGACTCCTGGCTCCACCTTCATTTTTTTTTTTTTTTTCTTTGAGACGGAGTCTCGGTCTGTCGTCCAGGTTGGAGTGCAGTGGTGCGATCTCGGCTCACTACAAGCTCCGCCTCCCGGGTTCACGCCATTCTCCTGCCTCGGCCTCCCAAAGTGTTGGGATTACAGGCGTGAGCCACCGCGCCCGGCCCACCTTCATTTTTAACCAACCTCCAGGTTATTATTATTCCAGGAGGTTTGTTACCTACATGGGCTTTTCTGATTTACCATATATCTGCTCAAACCTGAAATCATAGGCAAATTCTCAATTGTTTCAGACCTATTTCTTTGCAACCAATTATTTCAGACCAAACCATAGTCCTACAGAAAAAAGAAATTATGCAATCTAGTTTATGTAGCCCCAAATAAATAATTGTTGCCTCCTAATTTTGGTGTTGTTTCTTGTCCAAAACAATTGGAATGGGAATCTAGGGAAATGACTGTTGCAGCTGCCACTACTCTTAGTGTATATTACATTTTCTCAGTACTTTCACAAGAATTTCAGGTATTATTATCCTCATTTGAAGTGTGAGGAAACTGTCTCAGAGGGGTTAAGTGACTGCCCAGAGTAGAATAGCTAGTGAGGGGTGGTGCAGGGATCCAAACTACGTCTTTTCTGAGTCCAAAGCCTGGCATCTTTCACTCTGCTGAGCACCTCACACAGCACCGTGCCACCTAGTGACTTTTTCATGCTGTGTGGCTTAACTGGTCTCTCTGATACCTAGAGGGAGCTCACTGTGATTCAGTTTAGCCATGTTAATTTAGTGTCGTTGGTTTCTGATTGTTTTCCATTGACTTTCATAATGAAAACATTCAGTATAAAATATAATTTGAAATGTTACACAATCTTCTCTCCATATCAATTCATGCATAGGGATATGGTACTGTAGATGAAGACACAGAAACAGTGCTGTTCGATTTATTCTTTGTGTTTTTTGTAATGGTCATAATTTTGATTTAAATATTACAAGTACAAATGCTAATTCTGTGTCTTTGACACCTCTTCCTCTACTTTGAAGATATGAGCAAAGGCAGCTGCTATTCGTGACCATGCACTGAAGCTGCATATTGGTTGACAACTGGAGACATTAGTCACAAAAACCTTTCAGATTGCCATTCTATTTCTTCCCTCATAGTTTCAGCATTTTAATCAGAATGTACCATTTTACTCATACTGGCCATATTCCAAGTGGCCTGTATGTTTTAAATGTTTCTACTGTACATTGGTTCCACTTCATCTCATCATACAGCTACTGTCCAAATGTCCATTGTCTGCACACATCAAACCTAGTGGAGTTTGTTGAAGCAAATAACATGAGTAGTCTCCAATGTCAATACTCTGGCTTCATTCCATGACCTCTCAGTTGGTGATCCTCTCTTGCTATTTAGTGCTAATTATGTCTTTAAATGATGTTGGTGAGTTGTTCAAAGAATTAGATGTGATTAATATGAAAGGTTCAAATCTCTCATGGACGTAGAGTACATCACACAGTATCTTCATTCTACATACCTTTACTTTGGTCTGAAATAGTTGCTTTCACTTTTTCATCTTTATCATAATTAAGAAATTATGCTGAATGGCCACATTTGTGCCAAGAATGAATTGAATTAATTCACTGTGCTGTCAACCCCCCTAAAGAACAAATCTTTGCCCTTGAAAAGGTATCTATTGAGCACCATAGTGTTCTGTCCTTGGCCCTATGCAAGTCACTATTGTCAGCAATGTTTAGATAAAAGGATTGCTTATTAAATTTTCATGATACTGGGAAGTGTAGTAAATTTTAGTGTTTCAGAATTAAGACTTAAAATTATTCCAGGAGACTAGAATACTTCACCAAAGCACATGGAATAATATTTAAAACAGAATCAAGGAGAGTAATGAATTTAAACATAAAGGATTAATTTTACCTGTAGAAGATATGAACAACTGCCCTGAAAGAAATTCCTATAAAACTTTGGAGGATTTAGTTTTCTTGGTGTTAAGTATCAGTTAACAATATGATACAAGTATAATTCCTCTGAATTTTATTTACTGTTATCAAGATTTACCATGTATCTGGTATTATAATAGGCAATTTTGCATGTCATCTGCAGAAGATAAATAAAAACATTTCGGGTGGTAAATCCTTAAACTTTGTTTAAAACTCTGAGCATAACACAGAAGCAATTAATTGAAGGTTTTTTTTATTTAGAGAGGTAAATAAATGTATCCTAGGGACATTTCTTTCTGAGCATCTAAATTAATATAAGAATAAAATAAAGAAATATGTGTTCTTAATATTTTCATTGACTACACCCTCTTAAATTTAATTTGTTGCAGCCATACTTTTAGCAGCCTTAATTTACGTTAGCATTTTCTGACATCTAATTTGCCAATGGTTTATATTATTGAAGAAATATTCCTATTTTATACTTAATTACTAGGTTGCTACAGGTACGTTCAGGGTAAGTCTTTCCTCAAAAAAGTTTTTTTTGTTGCTGCTGTTGTTTTTTTTTAATACACAAGCTGTTTGCCAACTGTGTGATCAAAACTCCAGGGTTATATGCTGAAAAGAATAAAAGAGATGATTCTAACCAAGAAATGTTGTTAATGGTTATTTCTCATTGGCTCCTTCATCTTTAAAAGAAGCATCATAACTTAAAGTGAAGTATAACTGCTCCTGATGAATGTGAGCATGAGATTGCATCAAAATATACTCCCTAAGATAGGTATAAATAAATTTTCCATGGCAAACTGAAGAGACTCATTCAAATGTAGCTGAGACTACTCTCAATGAGGAAAATTGTAGAAGTGATTTTAATCCTGGGTCTCAGATTATACATGGTGAGTCTCAGGGAGGCTTAAATTCATGGATGTTTCTGTGCCATTTCTGAACATGATTAAAGGTTAGTTACTTAAGTGCCGCATAACAATATTAGTACTGTTCTGATCTCCATTCACATGTATGAATCCATCAAAACACAAAATGAGTCTTTCCAGTGGTGTATTTAAGCATTTGATCCAGTGGTATATTTAAGCATTTGAGTGAAATGGTGTTGGGATGATTATTAAATGTGAAAAAGAATGAATTCTTAGCATGAGAAAATTAATAATCAGTAAATATTTTAAGGCGTGTCTTGTCCTCTTATTCAAGGCAATGGGATTTTTGTATGCACTTTACGAACAGTAAGGGGATGGTCCTTAGGGTCTAGTAAATGTGAGCCATTTTTGGAGAGTTTCTAAGAAGCTTTCACAAAGCAACCAAAATTATTCAAAATTGATTTTCTGCACTGTAGCATGGACATCTATGAGAATAAGACTGGAAATAAATTTTTATTGAGTTATATCCCTCTTGAATATTTTCAAATTACATAGAGTAACTGTATTTTCCTGCTGGACTGTATAGATAAGAAGGGTCACAATTCCCATCTCTTTGGAATCTACAATGAGCTTCTATAAAGGAATAGCAAGTGGAAGTTAAAGAGACCAGGTAGCCTGAGAGTCTAGGTCAGAGATTGAGTCTACCTTTACTTCAGGAGACAAGAGCAAACGATGGCTACATACTGAAGTGGGTTTGAAAATATGCTGTGACAAGGCAGTTCGAGTTGGGAAACCATGATAACAGAAGCAGTTTGTGAGATCCTAGGCACATATTGGACATTTAAAAATACTGAGAACATAGCATTCTCCTGGGAGCATTCTGCTTTCTCTTACAAAAAAAGCGTACATTTCTTTTTTTTCTCCTCCTACATGAGCTGCACATTAAAAACAAATCTATATACATTAGGAAATTCTACCTGAAATGCTCACTTTAAATTTTAAAATTTTTGTTGTTCTTGTTGTTACTTTTTCTTTCTTCAAATTTAAGTCTCTGAGTTCCTTTGTAAATAAATCTCAGATCAGAAAACAATGATATTTTCTTTCAGGTAGACTTTGACCTATCTTTTGGCCCTCTTTTGATTTGGAAAATAATTTTCCTACAAAATTTATCATATTGAGATTTTTTGGAGTTATGTGTTAAATTGAACCTTTTTCACGGTTACTCACATTCCTTATTATGAAAACAAATAGCTTTACTTTCTCTTAGCTAAATGTACATTTGAACATCATAGAATCAAGGCCCCTCAGACCTGGAAGGAACATTAAACATTATATAACTCAATTACTCTCATATTACTAAATCTGTTGCTTTTCTGCTTGATAGCTGTGTTGTCTGAATCAATATTTCAGTGAATGGGAACATATTAACTTTTGAGATGGTTTATTCTTTCTTTGAAGAGTCTGACCTTTCAGAAAGTTTTTATTATTGAACAAAATCTCTCTCTAAAAAAAAAAAAATGGGAGCCATAAAGCAAGTGCGGTTTCTTTTTCCTTCTCTTCAATTGTTTGCACTTTCCCATCACGACCTTCCACTTGCCTGTTGAATCTTTTCTTCCCTATCTCTTTCTAGCATTTACAAGTCATTCCACTGAATATTATTTTGAATTCCTTTATCATCTTGGTTGCTCTCCTCTGATCATGCTTATTGATAAATATATTATGTCAAGTGTGGCTTCTATATCCGATCACCATTGTTCAGGAGTATTTTGTCCAGAGCAAACAAAAAGAAACTGCCACTTTTCTGGTTCTATTAGTATAGCCTGGTATACTATAAGACTTTTTGATGGGCATATTTATTGCTGCCGTATATCAAGCTTGCTACTTGCTAACCACCCCGCAACTCCCACCCCTGGCCTTTATTATTGCTGTTCTGAAGGCACAGCTCTTATCCTCTGCTTGTGAGGTGTTTAAGCAAAAATCTGCCACAAATTGCTATACAACAGGCAATTTGTGGCTACCAAACAATCTTTTTTCCCCCTACTTTAGTGTAGTTACTCTTACAAGTCATTCTGTTCATATTTAAGGTTGGAAGCTCAGAAAAAATATTTGATTTTTAATTTGTTGCTCTTTCAATTTTTACTTCTCAGATTTTGGTTTTCTGTGGTGGGTTAGAAAATGTTAAAGAAAAGCCAAAAGGATTATTTGAAATAGAAAGAAAATACACTATTCATTTGAAAGAGCACCTTTAGCAAGGTATATACGTCTTGTCTGGACTAAAATTATAGCTTCTTTGACATTTCTATCAGGTACAAGTTTTGAGGAACTGTTACTCCTTTTATTTTGTCTTTACTTGAAGATTCAGGCAAAGACGGCCTTAAAAATAATGACTGTCATAGGGCAAAGGCAACTTTTGCAGTTTTAGTACTAGTACTAGCACTAGTTTAGTACTACTTCTCTTTCATTCTGGGTTCTAACTGGCTGAAAAATCTGTGATTTTTTTATTTGTTTATGTTTGCTCTTTTTATAATTAAAGAGCTCTCAATCAAATCCTTTTAACTTTCTCTTTTATTTGTTCTATTCATTGTCTAAGCTGCAAACTGAGGATAATTTTCATGTTCATGTATGCTGATTTGGTCTTTATATGTATAATCAAAATAAAATTAATTAATATTTTAAAAGTAAGTGGGACAATCAAGTGATAGGAATTACTTTTGATGCTTCCATCCTTCCAAAATTTTAATTTTGGGGGTAGTTTTAGCATCTGAACTTATGTAAAACATTGCCTGTATTGACTTAGAAATACAAGACCCATTCAACATAAAGCACAGTTCAAATGACGTAGTGATTGCTCTGGCCCACTGGAATCAACAGCAGCTGGCAACAAATATAGTGCATATTAATTATTACTATGAAGGGCAGAGCTGAGAGAAAAACTGGGTAAAGAGCATGTATTTATGAAGACAAAGTTAAAAAGTAAAAATAATAGTCAGATGTAAGAGAAGTTTTCTATTATGTGTAATATATACATATCATTCCTTAAAGCCACATATAAGTAATAAAGAGCATCATTAATAATCCTGAAGTACACTTTTATATCTCTATGTATAATATACCTAGTGGACATCTCTGAGATACCCAATTATTATGTGCCATACTAACACATTTTCTCTTAAACTAGGTATTTACTCTTTTATCCAATAAGAATTGTTTCAGCACAAAATGGGTACTTTTGGCAACTCAAAAGACATCTAAATTAGTTTTGAAAACAAGAGTAAATATAGTCACAACATATCAGCATTTTAACCTCAATGTATACTATTCTAATTATTTAATAGAAATTAATGACAGCACTCATCTTTTGAGTAAAATATTGCTTTGTTTTGACAACACAGGGATTTTGCATTAGGTGTAAGACATCCTAAATCCATTAAATTTTGACAAGATCAACTATAGTGACCAGAAAAGGAGAGGGAGGGAGATTTAAATAGCAGCAAGACTTAACATTTCACTCAGTGAAAGTAAGCTCTGAGGTTTTACTCCATTGTAGCTCAAAGATAGGTCATATTTAAGTGTTGCCGTACATAAGTACGTAGTTTTCAAAAGCCTGTTAATACATTTTTCGTTTTTTGTTGTTATAGGCAAAAATGTAAGGCAGTAGAGCACTTCCATTTTCCCTATAAGATTATCTCATACTTACATAGCACTGTGTGCTAAATGCTGTTTTCAGATTTAAGTATTTTTATTGTCATCTTCTTTTCAAGGTGAAAAATCTGATGTATAGAAGGTCACAGCGTTCATATGAAAGTTGACCATAAGCAACTTGGCTCTAAAATCTTCTATCTTAACCACTATGCTCACACAATACACAAATAGGTTCACATGTACACTTATACATAAAAATAAAAATAAAAATGGACCATGTGTTCCTGATCTTTGTATCCACATAACTCCTACAGTAGGGCTTTGCATATTTTGAGCTCAGTAAGGACATGGGTTGCTTATCAATAACTGATTATAATAATCAACATTATTTTTTATCTCATTTTTCCTGACTCCAAATTTATGAAATATATTTTAAGGTCACAATATAATTTATTGACCCAACTGGAACACTTTTGAGAGAAAAAGTGGGTGTTATTTAAAATTATATTAGGACAACAAGGAAAAACAAGGACCGTCCCAGGTCAGCCAGGATTGAGGGTCAGCCCATGTATGTGAGGGTAGGAAGCTAAGCTCAAAAGTTTGTCCAAATTGAAAAAGTTGAATAGGTTCTCTGCCTGCAAAGACTATGCTTTTGTAATTTTATAATGTATAATCAAATAATTATAACACTTTAGAAACTGCATCATTATCTATTAGTATTGCAAACCACCCAAAACTTAGTGGCTTCACAACACGTATTCATTTATTTTAGAATTTTGCTCAAATTATTTTTTTGTTTGTTTTTTTTGTTTGAGACAGAGTCTCACTCTGTCACCCAGGCTGGAGTGCAGTGGCATGATCTCGGCTAATTGCAGCCTCTGCCTCCCGGGTTCAAGCGATTCTGCGCCTCAGCCTCCTGAGTAGCTGGGATTATAGGCCCACACTACCGCATGTGGCTAATTTTTGTATTTTTAGTAGAGATGAGGTTTCACCATGTTGGCCAGGCTGGTCTCGAACTCTGACCTCAGGTGATCTGCCTGCCTCGACCTCCCAAAGTGCTGGGAGTACAGGCATGATCCATCATGCCCGGCCTTGCTCAAGTTCTTGTAGTGTGATCTGGGCTTGGCTAATCTCATTTGAGTTTACCCATGTGCCTGCACTTAGCAGGCTGGACTAGAAGAAACTGGATGATCCCATATGATCTAACCAAAAACAGATGGTCTGGTGATGGGCTGGCTGTTGACTAGTACAATGATTGTGGGGGTGATTGGCTGACATGTCTGTCACCCTCCAGCAGGCTTCCTTGTCAGGTTTCCAAGTGCAGCAGAAGAAGAGCAGCCTAAATGTGCAAGCGCTTTTCATGTCTGATTATATTGTTTGCTAATTGTCCCACTGGCCAAAGCAGCATACATAGGTAAGCCTATAGTCAATGAGGAAAGAGCTAGCCCCAGGCATGAATACAGGAGGACTTGGCTTGAAAAACTGCTGTATTTTCACTTCAAATATGTCTATCACTCAGTAACTAGTGTGGCACTTTATGGTGTTGAGAACTCAGAATTAGCTTGAGTGGCTCTACCACGTGTGGCCTTAACCTCATGCTTCAAGGCATCAGCATCTGCTCCACTCAATGGGTAGAAACAAAAGTAACGGGAGGCACATGGTACAATTGCATTGTCTCTTAAGGAATATCCCCAAAAGCTCTTAAAAGATACATTTTCTCACATTCTCATCGCATCACATCTCTTCTCCTCCTATTAGCCAAATATAGTCACAGCACCCCAACTAATTGCAATGGAGGCTGAGAAATGCAGTTTTATTCGAAGTAGCCATGTGCCTAGCTAAATATTCTGTTAATATGGAGATATGAAATGGATATTGGGAAGTGACAAGGACACTCTGCTACATTTGGCTCCTGTGATTCATATATATGCACCAATATAGGAAAATTACATGTTTATATATATAGTACATTATAAAATAATACATTTTTTCCTCAAACATTGCAAACCTTCTCTCTTTCAAAAAATGGTCAGAAGCCAGTTAAAATTTACTAAGCACTTTAATGAAATGCTTGAGGAAACAATAATCACATTTAGAAACAGACACTTCCATTTGTTTAAGACCAGAAACTGATTTATGATTCCTGTTTTATGTTTTGAGAATTCTAGGTAGCATCTGCATTCCGGTGGTTGAGGACATTCTTTCAGATTTTAGCATCACTTAGTTACCCAGAGCACCATGCATGTTATCAGTCTTAAGCGGAGAAAGAGAGATTTTCTTCAAGTTAGGAATAAATAAAAATCTAAAAACTTGTTTATTCATCCAAGGTCATTTTACCGAGACAGTGGCAATCTGTTGTTATCTAGTTGAAAACCATTTATATCTGTGATTTGTGTCATATAAGCAACATAGAGAATCCAAGATGAGTCATATCAATGTTCTCATATGTACTGTGGCCTGATATAACTGAGTTTTACAGTAACACTTTGACAGTGTGAATTTTGAAAAGCATCTTTTACAAAAAAGTCTCAAAGCACTTTACATTTGAAACATAAAAGCTCAAAAGAAAAAAGTTAGAAATATGAAGCAGTAGGAAGCGTAGATTAATTTGGGAGTAATTACTTCAATTATTTCTAATAAAATCATTTTGTATCAAGTGAAAATAGTTTTAAGTTTTAAATATTCATTGAGGATTAAGAGTGGCAGGCTCAAGCCTTTATCTTTCCTTAAAAAATGAACCCCATTATTCTATATTGAGTTAATAGACTTTTATAGTTTTTTTTAAGATAAAGTATATAATTGCTTAGACTAATCAAGAGGGACAGCCAAATCTATTTATCTTAAGTGCAGTCACATTGCAATAACCAAAAACTAAGACTATGGATGGCAAATTCCTTCCACTAGTCAAAAATTTTGTATGTGATTGTAATCCAATATTTTTACCTTTATTGTGATACTTTCTACCTTCATTTGCTTGGGAATGATCCTTGGACTTATTGTGGTTAAGAATACAGACTCTGGAGCCAATTTCAAACCCCAACTCAAAAATTATTAAGCTGTGTAACCTAGGGCAAGTCACTTAAACTTTCTGTGCCTCAATTTTAATCTCTATACAATGCAAATAACAATACCTGCCAGTTGTTTTGTTGTTGAGATCAATTAAGTTAATATAATTAAAGAACATAGAACAATGTCTGTCACATAGTAAGTGTTATTTGAGTTTAGCAGTTGTTGCAATTATCTCTAAGGTTTCTTCCTGCTCTAATGTTTCTTCCTGCTCTAATGTTTCAAGATTCTATTATCTTCTCTATGATACTGTTTATATGGACATATAAACTGTCAATGGATTCTTTATATTACAGTAAATTGTATAAGCATCAATGTCATGCTGCAGATAACGTAACAGCTTATGATTAGTAACATGCTATATACAGTAAGAAATTAGTTTTAATGGAGCACCTTCTGGAAAGGGTGCCACTTAACTGAAAAGCCTGTTTTGAACTTGCAATAGTCAGGCGGAACCACATGTCCAGGTAACTTTCTCTAGCGGGTTTGCCACTTTTTCTCAACTTCAAATATGCATGTGTGTGGGGGTGGTGGGGGTTGGTGAGATGATGGGTGTGTATGTTGTTCAATGATATGTAGATTAAAATGTCTAATTCCTCCTCAATGAGGAAGAACTGGCAAACATCCTTAGCCACAAGAGAACAGGAGAACTGTTTCTTCTGGAACAGTCCAGGTGTATTTCTCTCTTGGAGAGTTTTCTCTTTGTAAGCAGTTCAGTTTCTAGTAATAACTTTCTATTGATTCCCAAAGTATCCTTGTGCAAGTGAAAGTTGAGTATCTATGTAATTGTAGCACAATTTAATCCTAAATATAAAAAATTATTAGCTACTCATTCCAACATTATTCAGTGCTAAAAATTTAATGCAGAGATTTTTATTAATTTTGTTTCTGTTATTCTGAATATTTCTATATTAAAGAAGGCTTTTTTTTTAACTTAATGTGCCCTCTAAAGTATTGGATAAACACTGTTATTCTCGTGGTTAGAATATCTGATTGCAGAATATGTTAATTCTTAACTCTGTCTCTCATATAGTCTTGAATTCGAAACATGCAAATGTATTACTTACTCAAAAAATTTTTAATCAATAATTAAAAAATACAAAAATAAAAAGATATTTTAAAAAGGCCTTAATGTATAAGGCAGTTTTAAGAAAGTATAAATATTAAATGAAGTTTTAACAAAAACCTCTCCCTGCACTGAGCTTTATTTTTAATTGTTTTTACTCTCATGTAGTCCATATTATCTTCAGCATGTTCCCAAATTAAAAACAATTAAATTCCAGTGTGTATGATAAATTTTCTCCACTTTTAGAAAATATTATCTTATAAATCAACTGGGTACTCAGGCTACAGAGTAGAAACATGCCTTTATCTTCCATTCAATGCTAGCAAAATTTGAAGGATGCTAAATTCCCTCACAGTGAAAAATAGATCTCCATGAGGCTGACACAATGTTTGAAATTTCCACATTATCATTGTTCCTTCAGGGCTTTGTGGAGACATGCATTTTAATTAAGTTAAGACATTATATTTCCAGGGTAAATCATTTGCTACCCAAACACAATAGCATGTATTTTTCCATCGTATTAAAACGCATTAAGACACAGCAGAACCTTGAGGAAATGACATGAAATAGAAAACAAGTGTGTATTTGAAAAATGAAGATGTAGAGAATGGTCAGATTCATGAGAGTTGCCAGGTTCCAGTGGGCATTTCTGGACACAAACATCACAGGGTTTCAGGAGTCTCTGGTGGTTTCTCATAAACTCTCCACCATATTATTTTGGTGGGAACTTTTGTTTTGTTTTCCCTGTTTTTTGTTTCGTTTTGTTCCATTTAATAATCAGCACTCTAGGACAAGAGCCACTACACTGGATGCAACCTTGTTTTGCCTGTACTTTGGTAAGCCATAATCTCAAATTGACATTCTATCCTAGTACTGCTGCGGAAACTTGCTTTTGCCACATATATCTACAAATTTCCATAGACTCTTTACTAAAACAAAAAACAAAAACTGCAGGCAAGATGGTAATAACACAGCAATTTATGAAACCTTAAGATAAATGGAAAATAAATCTGTTATTGTTTTTAAAATGAATATGAAAGTAATAGAGACTCCCATTTTTGTCATATATTTCATTAAATATTCTGAAAACCTCCCCCAATTTGAAACAAATAAAATAAAATAAAGCTATAAAACACCTAAGGGCTCAAGAAATTATGGAACAACAAAAGAAAACAAAACAAATTGCACACACACACACACACACACACACACAAACAGCTGAATTTGTGTATACGTATTTGTGTATACGTATTT
Source organism: Homo sapiens (assembly GCF_000001405.40). Taxonomy (NCBI): domain Eukaryota; kingdom Metazoa; phylum Chordata; class Mammalia; order Primates; family Hominidae; genus Homo; species Homo sapiens. The sequence continues at coordinate 173,317,466 of NC_000003.12, forward strand.
GTGTATATGTACCACATAATAACTGAACAGCTGAAATCCAGAGGAATAAATTGATTCTGGAGTGGCAAAACTCCTGGGAGCATTTTGTAACCTCTAAAGCAAGAGGTTTTCATTTTACAAACTATGCAGAATAGGACACAAGTCTTTTGTTTTAAGTAAAGTGACAGTTGGAGCTAACTTATCTGTATAAAGTGGAATTTTGATGCATTTCAACCTCAGTAAAAGGGTCGAATAGCAAAATCTAACTCACCAACAAAAAAGACAAGAAAAATTTTCTATCTTTCCTTGAGGTCTACGTAAAAAAAACAAAAATTGTCTTGAGGAATGTTAACTACAGGCCAGCTTTTAATGTTCACACAGGTTTGAGATTCAACATTATATTATCTACATCTTACATTTTCAGACTCAGAAAATTCCAAACTGAGAAATTAACAGGAAACAATGCCATACTATGGCATTCTGGAAAACTGGGCATAATATAACAAATTCTCTCTGGAGAAATCACTAAGCTCAATGGGTTTTATCCCATGAATGTAAGGGCAATTCAATTTTTGAAAATCAATCAAGATAACTCACTATCTTGAGAAAACATTATGATCATATTAATTGATGCAGAAAATTCATTTGACAAATTCCAACATTCCTTCATAATTACACTCTTTGAAAACCGAGACTGGAAAGATACTCTCTAAGCGTCATAAAGGGCATGTACAAAAATACCCTAAAGCTAACAAAATATCTGATGATGAAACACTAAACGCTTTTCCCTTAAGATCACTTAGTGCTATTTTGCTTACAGAAGAAGACAAGGATATCCATTTTCTCCACTCCTGTTCCAGCCAGTGCAATAAGAAAAGAGAAAGAAAGAAATAGCATATGTATTGGAAAAAAATAAAGTCTCCCTATTAGCAAACAAGAAGTTTGTACATTTATAGAATTCCAAGGAGACTGCAAAAACAAAACTCCCACTACTACTAAGTGAGTTTTTAATGTCACAAGATACAGAATAAACACATAAAATCAATTATAATTCTTCTTTTTCCAGCTTTTATGTTAGATTTAGGGGCACACATGCAGGTTTGTTAAACTGGCATATCGTATAATGCTGAGGTTTGGAGTGTGATTGATCCCATCACCTAGGCACTGAGCATAGGACACAATAGGTGGTTTCTCAACCCTTAAACCTGCTCTCTCCCTTCCTTCTGTAATAGTTCCCAGTGCCAATTGTTCCCATCATTGTGTACCCAATGTTTAGTTCACACTTACAAGTGAGAACATGCAGTATTTGGTTTTCTGTTCCTGAATTAATTCACTTAGGATAATGATTTGGCTTCCTGCTGCATCCATGTTGCTGCAAAGGACCAAATTTCATTCTTTTTTATGGATGTGTGGTATTCCATGGTGTATTTGTCTATATGTACCACACAAATAGCTGAAATCCAGAGGAATAAATTGATTCCGTACCACATATTCGTTATCCATTTTCCCATGGATGGTCACCCAGGTTGATTACATGACTTTGCTATTGTGAATAGTGCTGCAATGAACATGAGAGTGCCCATGTCTTTTTGGTAGAATAACTTATTTTCTTTTGGGTATATACCTGACAATGTGTGGGTTCCATGAAAAATCTGCATGTTATAATTCTTCTTTCTAGCAATGAACAATAGAAAACAAATTTTTAGGCTGGGCGTGGTGGCTCACATTTGTAATCCCACCACTTCAGGAGGCCAAGATGGGAGAGTTCAAGACTAGCCTGACCAACATGACAAAACCTGTCTCTACCAAAAATACAAAAATTAGCCGGGCCTGGTGGCACATGCCTGTAATCCCAGCTACTCTGGTGACTGACGCAGGAGAATCACTTGAACCTGGGAGGTGGAGGTTGCAGCAAGCTGAGATCACGCCACTGTATTCCAGCTTGGGTGACAGAGTGAGACTCTGCCTCAAAATAAATAAATAAATAAATTTTAAAAATATGTATAAATAAATAATAAAACACAATTTACAATAGCTCCCCTCAAAAGGATAACTTTAGCTAAGTATATAGTCAACATCTAGAGGATTTGCATGCTGAAAATTATAAAATGCTGAGGACGGAAATAAAATACCTAAATAAATGAGAAGACATAATTTTCATGGATTAGGAGACACGGCACAGTAAAGATATCAATGTTTTTGGATATAATTAGGAGCAGATTAGATGCTACAGAAGAAGATACTGACTTGAAGATATAGTAATACAATCAATCCAAAATGAAGAAGAAAAAACAAAGACTGCAAAAGAATGATTGGAATCTGAGTAATCAGTGAAGAAACATAAAGTGACAGACACGTAACTGAAATTCTAGAACAGAAGAAAAATTGTGGGAATGGAAAAAATATTTGAAAAAGTTAGATCTGGAAAAAAAGATGAGAACAAGATGTACCCATGAATCCACACTCACAAAATCTATGTCAGAATAGATCATAATCAAATGGATGACTACTAGTAATAAAGAAAATTATTTATAGCAACTAGATGAGAAAAGGCACATTACATGCAAAGAACCAAAAATGAGAATGACTGTAGATTTCTCTTCAGAAACTATGCATGTCAAGAAACAAAAGAATAACATATTTAAAGTGCTAAAAGTGGAGAAATACTTAGAATTTTTACCAGAGAAAATGTATTTCAAAAACAAGAGTGAATTAAATTTTTTTTTCAGCAAAACACTGTGTGAGAATTTACTGCAATATGCCCTCACTACAAGAAATGTTGAAAGAGTTCCTCATAATACCAGAAGGAAACTTGGATGTACATACAGGAATGAAGGAAAACTTTTTGTATTTTAAAATTCCTATAAAATCTAATTGACTAAAGCAAAAACATGAATAATATTATGGTCTTCATAACATATGTAGAAGTAAAATGTATTATATTACATGTGAAATGTTATAATATTATTTGAAGGTAGGTTTTGCTAAGCTCAAGATATATATTGTAAGCCCTCAAGAAAACCTTAAGAGAATAATAAAAGGAGTCTTGGCCAAAGAGCCAATAGTAGAGATAAAATGGGATGTTGAAAAATATTCAATCCAAAAGATAAAAAGAGGATTAGAGAACTATGGAACAAATAGAAAACAAGTGTCAAAATAGTAGATTTAAACCTAACCATGTCAATGATGACATTAAATGTAAACAGTCTTAACACACCAATTAAAAGATTGAGATTATCAGACTGGAAAGAACACAAATCAATTATTTGTAGTCTGATAAATTAATTTCATATATAAAGAAACAAATATATTCAAAGAAAAATGATGTAACAATATGTACTATGAAAATATCAAGCATATGAAAAGATAGATTGACTATATTACATCACAAAGCTGACTTCAAAACAAAATATGTTACTAAGGATAAAGAGGGAACATAAATGTTCATAGCAGAATTATTTATAATAACTGAAAACAGCAAATATCATAAATGTTCATCAACAGTGAAATGGATTAAAAATTTTGGTATACCTATACAATGTATCAATACAACAAAAAGTAACAAGTTACTGATGCTGGCAAAAACATGTATGTATCTCATAAATATACTTAGATAAAAATGTCAGATACAAAAAAAGTAGACATGGTATAATTCCATCTATATAAAACTCTAAAAACATCAAATACACTATATTGTGACAGAAAGCAAATTAGTGGTTTCTTGGGTCCAGGGATTAGAGCAGGGAGGGAATTGACTGAAAAACGCACAAAGAAACTTTTACAAGGTGATGGAAATGTTCTAACATCTTGATTTTGGCGATAATTGCATGAGTGTATACCTTCCACATGTACATTTAAAAGGGACTTATTTTATTGCATCTAAACCATGGTTATATAAGTTCATTAAAAATGAATGAATTAATTATTATAGGAGTGAATAAAAAACCTGAAGCAGTAAAATTTTTGAGGTGTATAATTGAAAACAATTTCTTTTCTTTTTCTTTTTTCTTTTATTCTTATTTTCTTTTCTTTGTTTTTTTTTTTGTTTGTTTGTTTTGTTTTTTGAGGCGGAGTTTTGCTCTTTTTGCCCAGGCTGGAGTGCAATGGCAGGATCTCGGCTCACTGCAACCTCCGCCTCCAGGGTTCAAGCGATTCCCGTACCTCGGCCTCCCAAGTAGCTGGGATTACAGCATGTGCCACCACAGCCGGCTAATTTTTTGTATTTTTAGTAGAGATGAGGTTTCACCATATTGGTCAGCTGGTCTTCAACTCCAGACCTTAGGTGATTCACCTGCCTCGCGGCCTCCCAAAGTGCTGGGATTACAGGCGTGAGCCACCGCGCCCAGCCAATTGAAAGCAATTTCTAAGGATTAAAAGGACCAGAGCAAACTCATTATTTAATAATATATTCAAAACTTAAATAAAAAATTTAGTGTTTTGGGGCATAGAGTTCATAATACTATTCAGACTAGCAAAGGTTGATAACTGAAAGTTAAACAATCGCGGTTAGATTGTATGGGTGAAATGAGCAGGACAGAAAACCTTTGATTGGAAAAAAGTGTGTTCAGGCTTCTAGCATACTGCAGGACTTCTATTTCTTGACCTGGGTGGTGTTTATTTGATATTCTCTTTTCAGTAATTTAAGCTGTTGGCTTTATTCATTCTTCTGTGTATGAATTATTTTTACGGCACAAACGAGAAAAGCCAACTCTGGCTGCCTCCACACCAAACCACCATCAGAAACAGTGCCACACAATTCATGATAACTTTGGTTTCCCCCAGATTTACCTTATATTTTTAATAACTGTAAAGTGCACTTTTCCCTTAAACTGTTTTTTTTTTAAGGTAGAGTCTCAATCTTGTCACCCAGGCTGTAGTGCAGTAGCGCGATCTCGGCTCACTGCAACCTCCCGGGTTCAAGAGATTCTCCTGCCTCAGCCTCCCGAGTAGCTGGGATTCCAGGCGCGTGCCACCACGCTCGGCTAATTTTTGTACTTTTCGTAGAGACTGGGTTTCGCCATGTTGGCCAGGGGGCCTTGAACTCTTGACCTCATGATCCTCCCATCTCCGCCTCCCAAAGTGCTGGGGTTACAGGCGTGAGCCACTGCGCCCAGCCCCCTTACTCTTTTATAGGCTGTCTAGAGGTGATCTGGGAAGAGAGAGCCATCATCCTGTGCTAATTTGCCATCTTGGCAAGAAGCAGAATCCCTATCATATTTTTTTTTTGAATTGTCACTTGAATTAACATTCTTGATTACTTGATTGTCAGTTCTGAATGAGTTTTATCAGAAATCCTCTGATATATACATATGGGTATATATATTAGCTATATATTTATATATATTTATGTATTTTAAATATATAATTTAAAATATATATTATATAAGTATATGTAATTTAAAATATGTATATTATGTGTACATATTATAGTGTAGTGTAAATATACTACATATTTATATATGTAATTGGTGTCATAGTATAAATTTTAATTTTATTCTATTTCTCATTTAATATGTCATGAACATTTTTCATATTGACTATTTAAATGTCTATAATTTGAATGACCAAATAATATGAACATACATGCTATATTTTACCATTTTTGCATTTATTGGTAGATAATTTGATTGTCTCTAAATTTACATTGCTCATAATTTCACATTAATGTATTTTCACATCAAATTCTGATAATATTCTTAGAGTGAAATCTTAAATGTGGAATTAATTATTGGATTAAAATTCAATTAGGAGTTACTGGATTAAAGATAGAAATACTTTTGAAGTTTTTGATACTTAGCACTACATTTCTTTTCAGACAACTGTTAGTAATTTAAACCCTTAGCAACAGTATGTGAAAATAACTATTTCAGTATACATAACAGGTGCAATAATTTTTAAAACTTTGCCAATTTTGTGTTCTAAAAATTTCTATTGATTTGCATATTTTACTGCTGTCAAAGTTGACATTGTTTATACTTTGACTATTTGCTTTATTTCTTATGTAAGTTGTCTGTTTATCATTATTTGTACCCTTTTCATATGAAGATTATCATTTTTTATTGGTTGCTAGTAATCCCTTTTACTTATTTTTAAAAAATATTTTGTAGTAACTATTAAAACATATACACTTGTCTTACTTATTGTAAATCTTTTTTTTTTAGTGTGTGTTTTACATTTTAATATCTGCTTTTAGAAAATTTGGCTGGTAAACTGCAGATTTTTAAACCTATGTGGCATTGACCCTTTTTTATATTGTTCTTTTAGAAAAAAAAAAAATTTATTTTGAGATTTTTAGGTATTCAACTAAGATTTCTTCTATATTTGGGGGAGAGCTTAAAATTATATATATATACATACATGCATATATGTACATACACACATGCACACACATATATACACATCAGATTCAGAACAGGAATCTAACATTTTTTATTTATATGTCATGTATTTATTAAATATAATTGTTTTCATTTGTTTGAAATATGACATGTAGAAATTACATCTTAATTTTTATACAAAATAGGATATCTTTGAGGATTTTCTATTCTTTAGATATTTTTATACCCCTAAACATAAAAAATACTTGTCATCTTTAATACTGAATATATTTAGAAAGATATATATAAATAAGAAATCATTTAAAAGATTTAGAAGAAGAAATGAAAAAAAAATTATTGTACCCAAAATTTTGGGCAAGATTATAAGTGTAATTCAGCAGAAAACTTAGATGTGAACATTAGGGCAGGAGGAAAAAATGTATGGTTTTATATACTGGTAGTAAACATAAAATATAATATTAATTGAATTCACTATCTACAAGATATTATAAAATGTATTGCATGTCTAGTCTCATTGAATTCCCCCTACCACCAAAAAACAACATAAATGTAAACGGGGTCTCCTTTTTACAAATGAAAAAGCAAGACTTAAAAGAACTACATGATTTCCCTAGTCAGAAAAAGTTTGGACTAGTCCTCAAACCCAAATCTATCTGACTCCAAAGCCATCATCTTATCTACTGTGCTATATACTACTTTTGTCAGATTACAGAAAACATAAAAGTTTATCTGTTGAGACAAATACTTTCCTGTCCCTAAATTCTAGAGGAAATTTATGGTGTGGCTGTTGAGTAACAATAATGGATAATGTCTTCAACTCACATTTTACAGAAAATAGAGTAACATATTTTAAATGGCCATTTCTTATATCAGCCTTTGATAGCAACCCAGTTCATAACACTGAATCATAACTTAGTGCAGGCATTTCTATAGACATCTAGGCTGAGATAGCTCAGATATGTTGCTATCTCTGGTAAACCTGGTTAAGGAATGTATTTGTCTTATACCCACCCTGGGTGGGGTGGGGCATAGAGATTCAGAAGTCAGGGCTTAATTATGAAGAAATATCAGGCAAATGTCAGATTCTATAACAGAGGAAAGTAAGTCATGCAGAAAAGTCAATGTCAGTTAGCAGTTACCTGTTCTTAAAATAACTAACATAGTTTCTTAAAGGAAGGGCAGAGTTGAGAACTGAAGATGAGTTGATAATTTGTTTTTTGCATCTTAAACTTTTAAGAGTCATATAGAGTTAAACTCAAGGAAAAATCAAAAAATGGCAGAAGGACACGAAGAGCTTCAGAAGCCTGCATGATTTGCCACTTTATCCCAGCGTTTAGTTAAATGCTGAGCATACAGCATGTGTTAGATAAATACTTTTGTGTTAAATAAATGAACAATCGAATGAAAGAATAAGTGTATTGTTTTCTAAAAACATAATTTTATTGGTGCATTTTATAAAAGAGCTGTATGTAGAGTGAGACTCTGTTTCAAAAAAAAAAAAAAAAGAGCTGTGTGTGTTTCTTCATGGTTACTTTTAGGACCACATAAAACATTTTTAAAGATTTAATTTTGTACTTTTCCTGGCCTCATGAGAAAAAAAAAAAGATTTGATTTTGGCTTAAGTTTTGTTAATTACTTTTGTTGACAAGAGTTTTTCCATCAATTAATAATGGTAACAATTATATTCAGGCACTATATAAATATATATTATTTTATTTTATTTTTATATATTATATATCTATATATGTATAAAATACATAGAATAATTTTATATATTAATTTCTATATTAGATTACATACATATACACTATATATGTGTGTGTATATAGAATAATTTAGTGCATATATGGTATATATGCACAGGTAGACATATATATATACTATATATGTGCACTAAATTATTCTTTGTACATCATTTAAACAAATATTTATCAAAATTATTATACATTAGATGTTATTATTTTTTCTTTCTGCAGAAAAGAAAACAAAAGGCTCAGAGAGGTTAAGTATCTCTAAGTCTAAGGTTGCACAGCTGGTAAGTAGAGTAGCTAGGATTTTTGTCCTGTCTATATCTTCTCAAACCCATATGCTTTATAATTCTGTAAACCAAATATAGAGCTGCATTTTCTTCATTTTACCTCTTTGAGAAATGCTCATTATAAAAGTTTCAAATAATCCTAAAGCTTAAAGTGAAAATTGCTTTCATTTAGGATATATTTACATATGAGAGCAAAAGAGATACTAAGGCCAAGGGGAGAGAGTGAGAGATTTACTTTTGTTCTTTCTCTTCTTTGCTTGGGTAGCAATTGACTAGCACAACTCAGAGACTATGTGAACCAAACTTATTTTTTTTAGGAGTAAGTCACACAGCCCAGCAGAAAGATATTGCTGTATATATATTTGATCTCTGATCTCAAATGAACAGCTAACTCTACTTAGCATTCTGTGTTTCTCTTTCATGCTCACTACTCTATTCTCAGATATTCTGTGTGTTATTTTTTACTTTTCTAATTATTTCAGTCTCTGCCGAGGTACCAAGCCATCAGTGCACCAAGATAAGCTCATATTTTATAGAGAGTATAAAAGTACTTAGATGGGAACACTCTCCTATTCCCACCACTAAATCTACCAACTAACCTGTTTCTGCTGACATACTAGTGTTGTTGGGATTCCACAGAGAAGAGCATGACATTATGACTTCTGATTTTAAAATTGATGAAAACATTTTCATGGGCCCTGAAAGCATCTGGAGGCCCCTAAAACTGTTCCTACTGAGCCTAATGGGTAAGTAGACTCTGAGGAAGAGCCTTTCTTACTGTCAAATACTAACCTTCTCTGCACCCTGGATTGCATTTCCTCTCACCTGCTCAAGGAATTTTACTTTGGTTCTCTCTCCTCATTACATTGACTCCTTTTTTTGTACTAGATTTTTACCCCCAGTATGAAAACAAGCTTCAGTGTCTTTTCATTTTAAAACAAAAAAGAAGAAACAACGCATTTATTTATAATCTTCTGCCTCCTGCCCACCACTGTCTCCGCTCCCATCTAGAGATAAGCTCTTCTCATTCTGTTTTTGAGATTGGTAATTTTTATTAATAATATTTTTCTGTATTAATTTTTAATAATATATTATTCTTTTGATTGTTATCCAGGAGAGTTGCACTGCCTGTGGCCTCTGCTATAAAGTTGAATATGAAAGGCAATAGCAGACATCCTTGCATTTTTCACAATCTTAAGGAGAAAACGTTCAATTTTCACCATTACAAATGATGTTAGCTGTAGGATTATTGGTGGATACCCTTTAACCAAGTCTGGGAAGCTCCTTCTATTCCTAGTTTGCTGAGAGTGTTTATCAAAAATTTATGTTGAATTTTGTCAAATACTTGTTCCATATTTGAGATGATCATATGATATCTTTTTCTTCAATTGTTGATAGGTGCATTGCATTGATTGTTTTTTTCCCCCAATTTTTTTATCGTGGTACCATATGCACAAGATGAAATTGACTAACCATTTTAAGTGTACTATTCAGTGGAATTAAGTACATTCACATTGTTGTACAATGATTACCACCATCCATCTGCGAACCTCTTTTCGTCTTGCAAAATTGAAATTCTAATCTATTGGACAATAACTCCCTCCCTTCTCCCCTAATCCTGCCTTGCCTCAGACCCTGGCAACCACCATTCAACTTTGTCTCTGCAATTTTGACTGCTCTAAATACCCCATATAAGAGGAATCATATAGTATTTTTTCTTTTGTTACTGTCTTGTTTCGCTTAACCTAATGTCCTCTAAGTTTATCCACGTTGTAGCATTATGTCAGAATTTCTTTACTTTTTAAGGCCGAATAATATTTATCTATATATCATATTTTGCTTCTTCATTCTTCCATTAGTGGACAGTCAGATTACATCCACATTTTAGTTCTGTGAATAATGCTTCTATAGTCATGGTCATACAAATGTCTCAAGACCCTGCTGTTAATTCTTTCAGGTTCCACCCACACGTGGAATTGTTGGATCATATGGTAATTGTATTTAATTTCTTTATTTTCTTAAAAAAATGTTTGTGGTTACATAGTAGGTGTATGTATTTATGCGGTATATTAGATGCTTTGATACAGGCATGTAATAAGCAATAATCACATTATGGAAAATGGGGTATTCATCCCCTCAATCATATATCCATATCCTTTGTGCTATTACACTCTTTAAGTTATTTTAAAATGTGCAATTAAATTACTATTGACTATAGTCACCCTGTTGTGCTATCAAATACTAGGTCTTATTCATTTTATGTTAAAGTTTTTCAGGAACAGCCATACTATTTTTCACAGTGGCTGTTCCATTTTACATTTCCACCAATGGTGCAGAAGGGATCCAGTTTCTCTGCATCATAGCCAACACTTGTTTTCTTTTTTACTGTTCTTGTTGTCATTTTGTTTTTCTAATACTAGCCATCCAAATGGGTGTGAGGGGCTATCATTATAGTTTTGATTTGTGTTTCCCTAGTAATTAGTGATGTTGAGCATTTGTATATACTTTTTGGCCAGTTGTATATCTTATTTGGAGAAATGTCCATTCAAGTCCTTTGCACATATTTAATCAAGTTGTTTGGTTTCAGTTGTTGAATTTTAGGAGTTCTATGTATTCTAGATAATAATAGCTTGTCATATATATGATTTCCAAATATTTTCCCCAATTCTGTGGTTTGATTTTTTACTCTGTTCATACTGTCTTTTGATGCGCACAATTTTTTAATTTTCCTGAAGACTAATTTGTCTTTTTAGTTGTTGTTGCCTGTGCTTTGATGTCATATCCAAGAAATCACTCCCAAATTCAATGTTGTGAAGCTTTTGCCCTATATTTCCTTCCAATAATTTTATAGTTTTAGGTCATGCACTTAGGTCACAGATTTATTTTGAGTTAGTTTTTTATATGGTGTTAGATAAGGGTCTAATTTCACTTGTTGATGTGGACATCCAGTTTACCCAGCATCAATTGTTGAACAGACTGTCTTTTCCCCCATTGGATGGTTTTGGTATTTTTGTCAAAAATAATCTGATCATATGTGTGAAGGTTTATGTCTGGATTCTCTGTGCTACTCCACTGTTCTATATGTCTGTCTTTATGCCAGAACCAGGGTTTTTATTACTGTAATTTTGTAGCAAGTTTTTAAATCAGTAAATGTGATGCCTCCAGTTTTGTTCTTCTTTCTCAGAACTGTTTTGATTATTGAGTCCCTTGAGATTCCATCTGAATTTTAGGATGGGTTTTTCTATTTGTGAAAAAATATGTCATTGGGATTTTGGTAGGGATTGCATTAACTCTATACATTGCTTTAGGTAGTATTTACATCTTAACAATTTCAAGTTTTCCAATACTTGAATACTGGGTGTTTTTCTGCTTATTTATGTTTTCTTTAATTTCCTTCAGCAACTTTTTGTTTGTTTGTTTGTTTACAATATACAAGCCCTTTAGCTCCTTGGTTAATTCTTAACTATTTTATTCTCTTTGATGCTATTATATATATAGTTGTTTTCTTAATTTTCCTTCTGAATTGTTCATTAATATTTTATAGAAATGCAACCAATTTTTGTGTGTTGACTTTGTATTCTGCTACCTTGTCAACTTTGTTTATTAGTTCTAACAGATGTTTGTGTGTGAAATATTTAGGGTTTTCCACATAAAAGGTCATATCATCTGCAAAGAGAGATAATTTTACTTCTTTTCCAATTTGGATACCTGTTATTCCTTTTTCTCGCCTAACTACTCTGGCTAGGTCTTCTAGTACTATGTTGAATAAAAGTGGTAAAAACAGGTATCCTTTACTTGTTTCTGATCTTAGAGGAACAGCTTTCAGTCTTTCTCCAGGGAGCATGGTTTTCACTGTGGTTTTTCATATACGAATGTTATGCATTGACTGATTTTTAAACTTTTTTTCAGAGTCAGGGTCTTGCTATGTTGCCCAGGCTGGATTCCTGGGCTCAATTGATCCTCCCATTTCAGCCTCCCAAGTAGCTGAGGCTATAGGCACTATTGTGCCTTGCTACATTAACTGATTTTGTATGTTGAACCATCTTTGTATCTAAGGAATAAACTCCAATTGGTCATAATGTGTTATCCTTTATGTATGTATTTATATTTACATATAGCTGGATTGCATCTGGTGGCATATCGTCGAGACTTATTGTGTCTTTTTTCACATCAAGGTAATTCTGCTGTTAAGAAAAAAAATTGGAAAATATTCTTTCTTATTTTATATTCTGGAAAATCTTGATATTATTGATGTTATTTCTTCTTTAAATACTTGGTAGAAAGCCATCTAGGCCTGGAGTTTTGTTTGTTGGAAAGTTTTCCAATAGCAAATTAGATTTCTTTAATAGCTATAGAGCTATTCTAGTTATCTCTTTGTTTTGGCTGAGTTTTCACCGTTTGAGCTTTGTAAGGAATCTGTTCATTTGTTAATCCCACTTGTTCAATTTATGGACATATAATTATTCTTAGTATTCCTTTACTATCTTTCTGGTGCTTGTAATGTTTGTCCTGATGTTACTTCTTTAATTTCTGATATTTCTAATTTGAGTCTTTTCTCTTTTCCTGGTTAGTGAACTTGAAGTTGGTCAGTCGGGCTAAAGATTGTTAATTTAGCTAATCTTTACAAAAGAACCAACTTTTGGTGTTATCGATTTTTCTGTATTGTTTTCTGTTCTCAATTTCATAGATTTCTACTAATATGTTTATTATCTTCTTCCTTCTACTTTATTTAGACTTAATTTGCTCCTCTTTCTAATTTCATATGATGGAAACTTTGATATTGTTATTGTAATTTTAAATTTTCTGATTTATATCTGAATTTGGTTCTGTTAATAATTTTGTCTTTACAGTGTGCTTTTTTCCTTTTGTGTGTATGTGTATGTATCATGTAATTTTTGCTTGAAAGCCTGTTATCTTTAGTAAAACTGTAGAAACTAAGATAAATAGTATATATTACAGTATATAAGTATATATATAGTATACTAATATATGGTATTATATATTATCATCCATATTATTATAAAATAATAAATCATTTATTTTATGCCTAGAAATAGACATGCCTTTATTTACTTATTTTATTTATTTATTTATTGCTATGCTTCTAGTGTGAGAGGTTGAATCAATATAGTTATAGCTTAAACTAAGTTTGGATTTTCCTATTGCTGTGGTTATTGTCAGTGCACCACAGTCTCAGTTCTAGAATTACCTTGTGCTTCATGTGACGAATGCTTTGTCAGCTGACTTTCCTCAATTTATGATTCTATCTTCAACTTAAAGTTTTTTCTTTCTACCTGCACTCAGAGAGTCTTAATGCACTTGCCTCTCTCTCTCCCAGCAGTAGACTGCTTTTATTTATTTACTCTACACTTGTTAGCCTAGTGACAGGGGTAGGGGTTGTCTTCTATTGTTCTAGTTCAGCCTTAGTATTGGGCAGATGATCTGTCCCTGGATTAAGGGTCTTCTCAGTGATCTTGCCCCTTTCTCAGTGGCAGAGGCTCTCTAAATATCTGGTCCAGGGTGCTTTCTTGCTTCTTTTTTTGGGATAGAGGGATATTTATTCTATTCCTTTCAACCAATTGTAAAGAATCTTCCCCTATTGCTTGGGAGTGACAAAGTATCTGCTCCCCTCTCAGGGTCTTAAAGCTTTTGCACCACAGGAGAGATGGGAGAAAAGAACCTGGGTGGATCTTTGTCTTAATCAGTTTAAGCTGCTATAACAGAATACTATAGATTGGGTGGCTTAAGCAACAAGCATTTATTTCTCACAGTTCTTGAGGCTGGGAAGTCCAAGATCAAAGTACCAGCAGGTCTGGTGTTTGGTAGGGGCATTCTTCCTGGTTTGCAGGTGTCTATCTTGTATGCTCTCACAGTGAAGAGAGAGGAAGCAAGGCCTTTAAATTCTCTTTCTTTAAGGGCACTAATCTTATCATCAAGTCTCTGTTATAATGACCTAATTGCCTCCCAAAGGCTCCACCTCTTAATAACATCATATGGGAAGGTGGAGGCACAAACATGCAGTCCATAACAGCCTTTTTTGCCATTTCTGTAGTGGCTGATGTTTCCCTTCCCAAAACTGGCACCATGACGGATGGATGCATTCTCAGGTTTCTCACCATATTCTCAGTCTTCTTATGAATGCCCAGGAAGAGTCTGATGAAAACTTGCAAGTGGGCACAAATGTCTTTTGTGTATGTGGTTCCCAGTGGTGATAAGCTCTTAAACTAGCCCACATTTAGATTTGGGCCATTTATTTAAAATTTTAGCTGAATGTCTTCTCCCTGGCTTGTATAGAATCTGATACCTATCCCAGGTAAGCAAGTACTTGCATTCTTTCTTTTCTCTTTCATTGAGGTAACACATAGATTGAGGTCATAGATTCAGTTGGGCATCCCAGTTGTAAAATCCATGCCTTTTATATTCTAAAGGCTTGTCTCTTTTTCCTCATACAACTGAATCAAGGTTCTGAATTATCAGAATCAGCCACAAATTCAGTGACAACTCACAGCATTGGCTTTCTGAACCTTCTTTGCTTTTAGCCATTGGCGATTTCCTTTTTTCTTTTTTTCAGCTGAAACAATTATTTAAAGAACATTCACTTTTTTGCACCCAGGACTTTTAGATATTTTATGTTAAGCAACATTTATTTTGTTTATTCATTAATTCATTTATCTTTAATCTTCTATATTGCCCAAATGTCGGGGGCTTCAAGTATTGCCCATGCTGCCATTTGCAGTTCTCCTGAGATAAAATCTTATTTTTAATTTTAACATTTATTTATTCTTAAATTTTAGACTTGCCTCCATAAATACTATTTATATTTATACTAGACATATGTGTGTGATATTTGTATAAAATATATTAATCTACTGTATATATAAACAATCAAATGTAATCTCTTTTAAAAGATGAATTAACTCATTTTACATTTATTATTATTTCTGAGGAATTTATTTGAAGCAATTTAACTTGTACTTTCTACTCATAATGTTTCCCCATTTGCTTTCTCTTTGATTTATTTAATTGCTATTATTTCCCTCCTCGTCTTAATTGTTTGAAAGTGTTATGTTATAATCCTATTTTATTAGTGTTTGCCTTTGCATTTTTAGCATGCATATGTGTCTTAATATTCTCTGAAAATAAACAATATATCTACCCTACACTAAAACAATGTAGGAATGTTTGAATGTCTTATTTTTACCCACTCATGTTCCATTTAATATGCATTGTTGTCTACTATTTAACTCCACTCACTTTACTTTTTCAACCTCTTTAAAATGTCATTATAACTGTTTTATTATCGTTACATTTCACATTTATTTAGCTTTGCCCAAAAGCTCGCTCACCATAGCTTTTGACATGTTGTAAAGCATAGAGAGGATTTATTAATAATAAACTCTCATTTTCAGCTTTTATATAAAACTGTTCTTATTTTCCTCTTAATATTGAGTTATAGTTTTACAGATATAGAATTCTAAGTTTATAGTTATTTTCTCTCAACTCTTAAAGATATGATTCCACTCTCTTTTGGATTCTATTATTGGTAGAGAAGGTCTACGGTAATTCTAATGTAGATGATTTCTCTTTTCTCTTTTGGATTCTGTAACCTCACACTCTCCTTATTTCCTTCCTATCTCTGTTTATACCCTGCTGTAGTCACTTGTAGCTGATCTTTAAGTATTAGAGTTATTCAAGGATATAACCTGATTGTAGTCTTTCCTTAAGAAATATTACCATTCCCAAGTTTTTAAATATTACTATAACTCACAAATTGATATTTTATTCCACTCTTACTTTTACATCGCCACTTGAATGCATGCAGGCACTTCAGTCTTACTTAACATGCCAAATACAGAACTCTTGAGCTTCTTCTCTAAAACTATCACTCTAACAATTCTCTTTACTGCAGCAAATGACACATCTACCATTCAGTTGCCTGTGTCATAAATTTTAGAGTTATTCTCAGTTTGCCCTGACCTTCCTCATCTTTCCCATCACCACATTCGGTTAAATATACATTCACATTTATTCAAACTCTTTTTTTTATATCTTTCACCAAAGTAGTGCAGGTCTCTATCTTCTCTTGCCTTGACCACTGAAAGATCTCTTTCATTGGTTTTCTTGATTTCATTCCTGCTTCCTCTGCAATAATCTTCTAATCAACAGTGATATTCAAATTTTAAAAGCATAAAATATCACTTCTCTGCATGAAATTCCTCACTGAATTCCTTTATTTAAAAGAAAATGCAAAATCCTTTATGTGAACTATAGGTTCTAAGAAAATCAGCTCTCTAACCACTTCCAGGTAAGTGTTTACTCTGCCAGGAAAACACTCCTATTTCTACCTGGCCAACTCTTAATCAATTTTTAGGATTCAGCTTTAATGTCGCTTTCTTAAACAGACCTCTCCATTTGTTCCAAAAAACTATTACACTGCTGCAAAAGGAAGAAGAGATGATCAATCTTGGTAATCCAGATTTTGACTATATCAGTATTCATTGTGTCTTAGGATAACATCAAAGCTAGAGGTTAACATAACAATGATATTAAATAATAATAATAATGCTAATACAAACTAACATTTACTGCCAGGCATTGTTCAATTTATCAAAAAATATTGAGAGTCTCACTATAGCCCAAAAACTGTTTTAAGACCTAGCGATAAAGCAGTAAACTAAACAGACAAAGTCTCTGTCCTCATGGAGTACATAGTCTAATGGATCTATCATGCTAGGATTCTCACAGATAGCTAGACAATTGGGATAATTTGAAAAAGACTTAATTAAAAATAAGATATTTGCAAAGATTTTGGCAAAGTGTAGGGAAAGCACAAGGAATAGTACAACAAATGGGCCTTTGAAAAGTTGGAGCTGTCATTGCCTCTCCATGAAATGAAAAAACTACTGGAACCCAGAAAAGCAGTGATTCTCAAACTTTACCATGCCTATGAATCACCTGGAGCTCATGTTGAACTGTAGACTTTTGAATCAGTAAATCTGAATTGGGGCCTGAGAGTCTGTTTATCTACTCAGCTCCCAGATGATGCCAATGCTGAAGTTCCTTGGATCATGGTTTAAGTAGCACAGATGTAGAAGAAATCATTCTTAAGAAGAGAAATGATCTTCGCTAAAAGAAAACAATGAGTCTGAAGTGAATCAGTTACTAAAATGATCCAAGTAAGATACATAACCTTACTTCACTCTTCTCCTTGCCTCCTTTATGCTGCTGGGGTGCTCCATTAGTCAAACCTAACAAGATGCCAGAGAAGAGAATTTCTTCATACTGTCAGTACAGATAGGTGTCCTGGGCAAAAATCAGGCTACAGAAGAGTGGAGGTGTCTCTGGAGAGCCAAACAGAAGATATCTAACAAAGAAGACAGACAATAAACAAAAAAGATGAGTCAGTACATGGTCTGCAAAACAGTGATAAATGTTATAGAAGAAAAATAAAGCTAGATTAAGAAGCTAGAAAAGATTAAGGAATAGGAGTGGCACTCTCTTGGTTTTAGAAGGGCTCTCAAATAAAGTGGTCCCTCCTAAGAGCTAAATGGGAAGAGAGAGAAAGTCATATGTATATCTGAGCAAGAGCATTTCCAAAAGAGAGAATAAGTGAAAAGATTGACAAAGAACACAGTGTGACTGGAACAGAGTGTGTCGGGGCTAAAGTGGTAGAAACTGAGGCTAGGTTAGAGGGACAAGACCATGAGGAGAGTGGAAGAAATAGGGAGAACAGGCAGGCAGTTTTGCAATGGTCTCGGGAGAAAATTATAGCTTGTATCGTGGTAATAGCTGAGGGAATGATGAGTCCTGTTCTAGGTACTTTACATTTATTAAACCACTTAATCTTCATAACTACCCAGTAAAGTAGATGTTATGATTTTGTCTCAATTTCACAGATAAGAAACCTCTAGAAAGTATAGCAGAATCAATCATTTAATCTTAGGTAATCTGTATTGGGAAAAACATTCATTTTGAATACCAGAACTAATTTTTGAAGACTGTCTTCTCTCTCAGACATCAAGCTCATGAATACCATTATCAGTCATTAAGTTGTAAGCCAATTTAACTGCAAAATATTGTGAATATGATTTTTAAATTTCCTCTTCAACCTTATGTATATCCTTTTAGTATCCATCTTTGATTAATCTTTTTTATTTATTTATTTATTTTTGAGATGGAGTTTTGCTCTTGTTGCCCAGGCTGGAATGCAATGGCCCGATCTCGGCTCACTGCAACCTCCTCCTCCCGCGTTCAAGCTATTCTCGTGCCTCAGCCTCTTGAGTAGCTGGGATTACAGGTGCCCGCCACCACACCCAGCTAATTTTTTGTATTTTTAGTAGAGACGGAGTTTCACCATGTTGGCCAGGCTGGTCGGGAACCCCTGACCTCAGGTGATCCATCCGCCTCGGCCTCCCAAAGTGCTGGGGTTACAGGCTTGGAGCCACCGCGACCGGCCTGATTAACTTTTAAAAATCATTCACTCTTCATCTATGTCTATGGCTTCCTTTCCCACAACCAGTAAGAGTTTGAATTGCTCTTTAGATATTCTTTAGAGCTGCTCTTGACTACCAATAAGATGATAAATTTTTATCTGGAACTCTTTCTTTCAGCTCAAAGTTGGAGGACTTCCCTGATGACGCAATAGTATAATGGACATAAGTCTAGTTGTTCAGGTCTCTGTTATTGACTTTTGTCTTCATAATTTATAACTTTTCTTTAACTTTTAGCACTATTGCCAATTCATGCACTGAAACCTCCCATGAACATAACTTTGGTATGTATTTATATTTCTGTAATAAATCTGTTTCAACTATTGAAATATCTTTCTGTACTCACGTATTTATTTGCAAGTGTTGTGGCAAATATAGTTATAATGGTGGTATTGATTTTGTTTTAGTGGCAAATATAGTTATAATGGTGGTATTGATTTTGTTTTAGAAACAGATTGAGGATCTTCGAGAAATGGTGTCTCTTGCCTGTCATCCCAGCAGTTTAGGAGTCTGAGGTGGGAGGATCACTTGAGACCAGAAGTTTGAGACCAGCCTGGGAAACATAGTGAGACCCTGTCTCTACAAAAAGTAAAATAAATTAGCCAGTCATCCTAGCTGCTAGAGAGGCTAAGGCAAGGGTACTGCTTGAGCCCAGGAGTTCAAGGCTGCTTTGAGCTATGATCATGCCACAGCTTGGGTTACAGAGCAAGATTCTATCTCTTAAAAAAGAAAAAGAAATAGATGAAAATCAAGGACTATGATGTTTTTATTTGGCTAAATAAAATATACTCAGCATGATACTGAGTTATATATACTGTATTCTTTCATGTATGACTGTATATTAAACTAAATAAATTATTCCAGTTATTCAAATACTCTTAATACAATTTAATAAAGATCCATGTCTGCATCAGGCATCCATTGGCACAGATTTTAAAACCTATAAGAAAAAGTTTTCAAAATTGTTTTCTTTTGTTATTAATTATATTGCAGAAATGAGCACCAATTTTCAATTGTTTATGTTAAAGTATACATTTTCATTTATCATAATCACATTTCATGGATTCTTTAATGTTTCTTAAATGTACAGCAGTTTAAAAAATATAAGTAGACAAGGGCTACAATGCTAGATTTCTTCCTTTGTCTCTCATCTCTTTGCATATTATAATGTATATTTCTAATTCTTTAAGCTGCTTTATTATTTTTAGCTGATATGAAATTTGCCAATGCATAGGATATGGTATAAATATTGCTATAATATTTAGAAATTAGAAATCCAGGAGGTGATAGGTATTCAGCAAATGATAGAGAAAGTGCCTATTGCTAAAAAGACTCTTTTACGTCTATTTTGAAATATTGGTCCTCTTTTGGTATTAGATCCTAGTCATTTAGTATGCAGATTAACATTTCAGATCATTAAAATTAAAAAAAAACTCTCAAGTATTATTCTAATTTCTTTAAAATTCTCCTCATTGTATACCACTTTATTTATGGTATGGCAGCACATCATATGCTAATTGCATTATAAACTTTTCTAAAAATAATCTGAAATTCACTTTGAACCCTTTGACTTACTGTTAATGAAATTTTCCAAACATTCCTAAACATTCGTCTATAAAAACAAAACTATACTTCACCCAACGAGAAGAATCTGCAGTTTGAAGGATTTCTAAAAAATATTGGTTCACAGACTTTTTAAATGTCACATATACATTCTCATCCAGTGTCATTAATTATAATTTTTAACATGATGTATAAGTCAAATCACTAAATAACCTTATATATTGAATAAACAACATATCTGAAAATTTTATTTCCATATTTATGGATGTAAAGTCAAGATAATTTGTTTACCAAAAAACAACAAAATATTTAAAGTTATTATTTCATCCTCTCTTTGCTTTATACTTCTAGATGTCTGAAGACAAAGACTATGACAGGAACATTTGTAATTCATGTGATAAGTCTTCCAATGACAAGTACATTGAGTGATTGAAAATTATAGAAAATGAGTTACACATTTAGAAAAGCTCTAAGTGAATTGACAATGGAATATTACTAGCAGAGGATATAAAAATATTTAACAATGTACCTGTTAGCTGAAAGTAAAGTGACTTCTTATAATTACTCAAAGGTTGTGTTGTATCACAAACATTTTTAAATCACTATATTAGTCATAATTTTTCACATTAATGAAATTTCAAGAAACAGTTCCCTGTGGTAAATATATGAAACTTAATACATTTAGTCATTGCACTTAATGCATTTTAATGAATGTAAATTTGTCTGTGTCACTTCATTTCTTTCTTAATGGTCATTCAGTTTCCAGACACATATTAATTAAATATCATTAGTTTTAGATAAATATTATATACTCTACCTAGTAACTGAAAAGAATTTTAATTTAAATTTTGTGGAGAAAGCATTTTTACTAGAATTTCTGAAATGAAATTTTATGTATTCATTTGGACTGATTTTTTTCCTAGACATATCTTTTTTATTATGCATTTTATGTTTTTTAGTTTGTCATTAATTTGATTATTTGCTTTATGAGATCATGTTATCCTTTTATACCGATCTAACTACTTAAGTATTTATAGGCACATTTTGCTTCTTTTCCAACGTCTCAATGTAAGAATCTTGTTTCAACACCAATCGGATCAGTTGCTACTTTTTCACTTTTATGGAATTGTTATCATAGATATTTCTATGAAGCATACGTTCCTGTCTTTGGTTTTCCCTTTTCAGTGTCTTACATTAAATTTTCCCCTCAGCTTCACTGCTTGGCTCTAGGTTAAGTTAATGATAATCACCAATTTTACTGTATCTTCTAACATAGTAGACCAATGCTACTTTTTGTTGATTACTCGTTGTTGCCTTATCAGCAAGCCTTAATCAACCACAGGAATTGAAATATAGTGCTTGTTGTTGAGATAATATTCTTTTGGCATCTGACAATATTTGGCTATAAAATTGTGTTCATTCATTAATGCTGAGAAGAAATTTGGTAAGCTGCTCATATTTTCTCTGTTGAATAAAACTAAACGTTTCAACTTTTGTTTTAATCTGTAAAATGCTTTCTTTGAATGTATTTTTACATGGAACCCCAATATTTGAAATACATAAAATTTATATCGTGTGGCTTAAACAGGGTTGGCTGTTCTTTTTCAACTGCCTTAGCTAACTCTGAAGGGAATCAACAGAAAGGAAGAGAAAGAGACAGAGGGGGAGACAGAGATGCAGATAGAATTGGAGAGGGTAAAGAGAATGAAGATGTGTGTGATTCTTCTTTGAATGACTCTAATTTATATCAGGTTTGTCTGTTTGTATATGGAATCACTATTTATCGTATATTTATTAACACAGAAATAGGTTATTAAGTGAGAAGAACAATATATTATGAGGCTATCTATGCACACACACAAAAATTCAGACACCAATAATATTTTCAGTATACAATATTGAGCAAGTTATTTGCCCCATCTCTTCCTTAGTCTGTCATCTATAGAACAGGAAGAATAATAATAACAACTTCATAAAACTTATTATATGTAAATATATTTAGAATAAGGCTTGACAGCATCTACAAAGGGTTCTGAAAATATTAGTCGTTATTTTTCTGTCTGTATGTTCTATTCTTTAATTTCTGATTTTTCTACATTATTATGTATTACTTCGGTGATATGAAAACTTATTTAAAAAGTGAAGAATACTAGAAAGCATGTAGAATGTGTAAAAATACTTTATAAAAAATATAAGTGTTCCTGCATTACGAATAATCCTCAAATGCTGAAGTTATGAAGTAGTGTGGCTACAATTATACATTTACAACAGACTGAAAATGGAATTTGTGCCCAAGGCTCTGTGTGAAACTTGTTGCTTTGCCTTAGACATTTTCAATCTGAATGTTATAAGGTACTGGGAGTTCTAATGAGGTGCCTCTAGGGTTGGGGCAAGGAATGAAGGAAGGATGAATGGATGGGGCTCAAGGCAAACCTCCTTTTCTTCATTTTGAGCAACTTCAGTTTTTTTCTGTTTGATATAGCAGACTTCTGAAAAATGAAAAATGTCTTGAAAACAACATAAGGGATCAAGTAGAACATGTGCCACTACTGCTTGAAGCCCATCAGTCCTAGGAATAGGACTCATTTGAACAAGAGAAATATATGTGCAATGAGCAGAAAAGACTTTCCTTGGAATAAACACTACTTTATGAGAGTGATTAATTAGGCCGTTCTTTAGTAAGATAGGATACCACGATGACCCAAGATCTATTAATTATTGTAGAAAACTTTTGAATTTTACAGTGACTCTCATCAATTTTCTGAGTCTGTAGAGAAAAGTTATTATAGATCGCCCCACATGTTCTTAGAATTTTGAAGTCCAAGAAACCCTAAACATGTCAGTCTCCACTTTCACAAAGCAACTCAATTTCAAAAGAACTTGTAGAATTTGCTGGCTCAACAGGAGAGGCTTTTCCAGACACGACTGAAATTCATTTGCCAGCTCAAGTTGGAGTCTCAGAGCCTCTTTGCAATACTGAGATTATAAGCCAGATGCCTCCAATCAAGATGAATTCCAGGAAATGCTGGCCCAGTTATACTTTTTAAAAATGCTCAGAACTTTTTGGACTACACTCATCTATTCATGGAGAGTCAAAAATAGAAGGAAAAGAATCTTTCCTTAGAAATCCTTCAGTGTTTCTCAAAAATCTATTTGTAACATGAAATATGTTTATTTATCCAGCATGTTTGAAAAACTAAAAGTATAGCTATAGATTTTGCAGGGTGCCTGATTTCAATGGGAGTTGAAAAGTGGCAGGTGCTTTATCATGAAGGCTAACAGGCATATTACAGAAATGGTGTATTTTCTCACCTGTAACTAGTACCTTTCTGATGATACAGCCTAGAAGCTTGTCTCTTCAAATCACAACGATGGAATTTTCTAAATGGCAGATAAATAGCCCTTTTAGTCTTTCAAGTTATTAATGCAAAAACAAACCATAGAGAGAAAGATCCAGATGGAAGTTTTAGGGCTTGTGTTTAGAGACATGCCAACAGCAATATGGGTAAACAACGGCATTAAAGGAGGCAATGGTAGCATGAACACTGAAAGTTCAGAATGATTAGACAGAGGAAGAGTCATCAGCACAGAAACAGAAGAAGAAAAAAGTGAAAAGAGAAATAAATCTAATAAGAAATTGTACACATTAGACATTCTTGTTTACCTAAAGGTTATGTAACTTCCAGAGGAAGAGCGCAATTTGCTGTAAAGGTAATACTGTAAGAGGAGATGTGCAATATCTTAGGAGGAGTTAGCAAGGTCAATGACAATATTAGGCTTAATGTGAGGAAGGTGGACCAAGAAGTGAAGGGATAGACTGAGACAAAGATCTGGTCTTCATACCCCAAACAAAACTCTTTCAATCTCTCTAGCATAGAAGGAATGATGGTTATAATGGACTCAATGTTGTATAATTGTCTTGTCTACGTTTAGAATGAAGTTGGGTACATTTGATTTGATTATCATTCATCCATACTTCAGTTACTAAGGAATTCTCAAACCATTCATTTTTGTCCAAGTCTTTGTTTAAGAACTAAAATGGGTGTTTGTTTTTAATGATCCTGCCAATAACATTTCTACTTGCAATAAAAACAAATGAATACAGTTGAGTCCAAGTTCTTTCCTATACTCAGAATGGTGACCATTTGTTTTTTTTCTAGAAGTAACTTATACCCCATTTTATTGATGTTAAGTAGGATATTTTATGTAGTTATTTTCTTTGCCAGTCCCTGGTGTATATTTAATGCTCAATAATTACATTCATTGAAGGAATGACAAATCCATTTCTTAAACACCTTTTCTAAATTTTCAGTACTACATGTGAAAAACTATTACTGATGAGATCACCAAAAGATTACTACATTTAAATAAGATAATGCTTGTGTTTTCCCTCTTGATTAGGTATTCTAAATTAAATAACATTTTAACAGATCTTATTTTTGCACTTCTATAATTTCTAAGTACTTCTAAAGTTCATTTTGATTAAACTGAGCAGCCAAAAGCAAATTTATACGTGGCCTTATTTAACACAATATGATTGATTTATATATATATATAGTCAAAATAGCACATTTGATTGTAACCATAGGCAAAACTGCAATATTTAAGGGCTAAACTCAAATGCATAAATGGTTTAGAGCAAAAATGGAAAAGGCATTAGTTTGTTTTTAGAAGTATTGTAATTCGTGGAATATTAATTTACCTATCTATTTAGATGAAGAAATAATGAACCTCTTATTATGTTAGGTATCAAGGTAACTTCTGATAAATATAGCTTTCTGTGATCTTGGAGCAGTGTAACAAGTTGATATAATCATTTTAGAATCTCAACAAAATTGTTTTCCTTAAAGGTAAGTCTAAAGGAGGCATCTGTAAGTTAGATAGTGCCATCAATTCAGCCAAAACAAAGAGACAATCCTGCATGTAACTCAACTACTCCCACAGGAGATATTTTGCCATCAAGATCTATCACTTCTCAACCATCATCACAGTGCTTTTACTTTTACCCTCACACATTATTGCATCTTGAAATACTTTGCATTAGGCTCATCCTTCACCCCTGGGCAAAGAACTTCCCCCACATAAGCGTCTGTGTCAGTCAGCAGCCATATTGTCATGCTGTCTCTGCAACCATTGCCTGTCATGCTATCATGACCCTAGTTATGATCCAGCCTCCTGAAATATCATTAATATATGGTAGAAATGGCTCTACTTTGAACTAAGTCCATCCTGGCACTAGTGCCTTTGTTAATGCATTTCCCAGACTTTAGCATTCATAGCTATTTTAACCAGGGGCACAAACATAAGCGCAAAAAGCTTAATGCAAAATTTAAACTATTTAGCATTATTGTAGCCCCTTCTACCTAGCGTAGGCTACATAAAGCTTTTAACAGATCCTGAGCTCCCCATATAATAACATATTAATATTTTATCAATACCTAACATAGTGGTATTTTATGATGATGTTAAATTTAAAGATAGTTAAAATCACGTTGGTGTGCTTAATTATGACCAGAGGCTCATGAACAGGCTTATAATTCTGTGTTAAATAATGACTTAGTTCTAACAAATAATATAAATATCCCAGGTTATACAAGTAACATTGTGTCTGCAATATTAATTATCAGTACCAACTTGATGTCATTTTTATCAAACAATCAGTTGTGAATCATTCTAAAAATACATCTGATTTATCGAGTGTGGTCCCAGTATTATGTTAAAGGAGATTTTTTAAAAAGTATGATTAACATATGTTCTACAGCCTGAGGGCACTTTCAATCTAGTGCGTAGATGTGTCAAACATACAAACACTTAACAGAGATACAATAAAAAAGGACATGGCAAGAATAAATTATATCTGCTTCAAAATTTCAACTACCTGTGACTCAGAGAATTAAGCATTAACAAAAACAGACATGTCAATAGGAGGAATTGATTTGGTGGGAGCAGAGGATGAGTTTGGGCCTGAACAGTCAAACTTCAGTTCCAAATGAAGTATTCAGCTGAAAAGCTAGCACTGTTCCCATGAATCAAAAAGTGGCAATGTTTGAATTGTGCTTTTAAGCAATGGTTCTTGAACTTTTTGAACTTAGGATTCCTTTGTTCACTTAAAAATTACTAAAATATCCAAGGAGAAACTCTCTTTTTATGGGCTCTATTTATCAATACTTATAGGGTCAGAAATTAAAACTGAGAAATTTTAAAAATTTGTATTAAGTAATCTAAAATAATTAAAACGTCTTATATATCAACATAATCGATACATTTTAGGGCATAATACCACATTCTCCAAAACATATTAATGAGGGGAACATTATTGTTTAAATTTTTTTTGAAAATGGTAGTGTCTGGCTTAACAAAAGACAATTGGAATCTTAAAGCTACTTCTGTATTCAATTTGTTGCAATGTCACACATCATGTAGGTTCTTGAAAACTTCATTGTAAACTTGTGAGATAATGAGGGTGAAAATAGACTAATAATGCCTGCGTATTATTATGAAAATAGTTTGACTTTAGAGAACATGCTTTATATAATTTGAATCCTTTAAATATGTTGATACTGTTTTATTGCTCAGAATGCGGTATATCTTGTTAAATGATCCATATGCATTTGAAAAGAAAGTGTATTCTTCTATATTTGTGTGGAATTTTCTATAAGTGCCCATTAGGTAAAGATAGTTAATAATGTTATTCAAGTTTTCTATATCCTTTCTTTCCTACTAATTTCATGTCTACTTATTCTATCAATTAATCCTATTAATTATGATGAGATTATTGAAATCTCCAACTATAATTGTGGATTTTTCTACTTCTCCTTGGAATTTTCTCACTTTTTGCCTTAGGAATTTTGAAGCTTTCTTGTTAAGTACATAAAAATTCAGAATTGTTAAGTCCTCTTGAGTAGTGGAACCCTTTATTGTTTATGAAATGACCTCATTTACCACTGCCATTCTTTGCTTTTAAATATACTTTAATAGTAGTATAACTACTACAGACTTCTTTTGGTTAGTGTTGTCATGGTATATATTTTTTCATCTCTAATTTTAACCCATTTTTCTTATATTTAAAGTGTCTTTTTTTCAGAATTTGACCCAGTAATCCATTATTGGCTATATACCCAAAGGCACAAAAATTATTCTAACATAAAGACACATGCATGTGTATGCTCATTACCACACTATTCAGAATTGCAAAGACATGGAATCAACCTAAGTGTCCATCAATGGTAGATTGGATTTTAAAAATGTAGTACATATACATAATGGAATACTATGCAGCCATAAAAAGAATGAGATCATGTCCTTTGCAACAGCATGGATGGAGCTAGAGGTCATGATCTTATGCAAACTAACCCAGGAACAGAAAACCAGATACTACATGTTCTCACTTATAAGTGGTAGCTAAACTTTGAGTACATATGGATACAAAGAAGGGAAAAACAGACACCAGGGCCTACTTGAAGGTAAAGGTTGGGAGGAGGGTGAGGATTGAAAACCTACCTATCAGGTACTAGGCTTATTACCTGGGTGACAAAATAATCTGTACATCAGACACAGACAACACAAAATTTGCCTATATAAAAAAACCTGCACATGTACCCTGAACCTAAAATAGATGTTAAAAATAATATATAAAGAATGTTTTTTGTAGGCAACAAATATTGAGGAGTTACTTTATATTTAAACTAGAAATATTTCCTTTTTATTTGGGGCCTTTAGACTTTTTGCTTTAAATGTAATTACTGATGCTGTTAGGCTTAAAGCTATCATTTGCTATTTGTTTTCTGTTTGTCCCATCAGTTCTTCACTCCCTTTATCCACATTTTTAGAGATTAATTGCATATCCTTATGATCCTTTTCTATCTCATTTGTTGAATGATTGCCTATATAATTCTTTGTGGTTTTTAAAAATATTAAGTTATTTTAACGTTTATAGTATATAACTTTAACCTTTCAGTCTACTTTTAATTAATATTATACCACTTAAAGTATAATATTAAAACCTTATAATGGTGTACTTCCACTTCTTCCCTCCTGATATTTATGCTATTGTTTTCCTACATTTTAGCTTTACGTATCTTCTGAACCACACACTACTACATTTTTTTTGTTTAAACAATTTTATTTTAAAGATAGTTACATAAAACAATATATATATATTTATTTATTTATGTAGTCACCATGCTCAGTGCTTCTTATTTCTTTGTGTAGATCCAGATTTCTGACTGTTATTTTATTTTTATCTAAAGACTACCTAAATATTTCTTGTAGTATGGATGAACCTGGAGGACACTATGGTAACTGAAATAAGCCAAGTGCTGAAGAACATTTATGATGTCAATGATGTGTGGAAAAAAGTCAAGTGCATAAACGGAGAGTATAATTATGGTTAGCAGAGGATGGGGGATGGGGAGATCGGGGAGATTTAGGTCAAAAGACTCAAAATTTCAGTTAAACAATAGAAATAAGTTTAAGAGGCCTATTGTATATTATGGTGACTACGTTTAACAACGACATTGTGTACTTGAAAATTGCTAACAGAGTAGATATTAAGCATTTTCACCACACAAAAATAATAAGCATGTGAAGTAATGCTTAAGTAAAATAGCTTGATTTAGCCATTTCATAATGTATACATATATCAAAACATCATGTTGTACACCATAAACATCGGCAATTTTTATTTGTCAATTTGAAAAATAAATTGAAATTTTTTTTCTCTGATCTCCCTTCAATAAGTTCAATATTAATAATGGTGTAGCTTCTAGTACCTTGACTCTACAGATTCTTAATCGTCTCAAAACTGATGACTTTCTTCCCTAATGGTCACTTTTGTGTATACCTAGGGCCTGACTCCCTCAGGAAGATTAAATACATTTCTTCTCCTTTCTCATTGCACATTGTATAATACAATGGCAATCATCGTACTAAATTGTAATTAATGATGTTAGTTTCCACTGTTAAGCTGTTGCCAATTAGAACTATTCAACTTTTAAAATGCAAAACATAGACTTGCCCATTTTTTCAATTTTCTCACCCCAAGTTTGCTTTTCATACTCAGGGTTACAGTCTTTCCCTATTCTTTACAATAATATAGTAATTTTATTACTGTTACCTAACCTAGACATAATTATGATTAACGGGAAGGAGAAAATAAGATATAGTAAGTTTCACCTACAGAACAGGTACCCATGGTGGTAATATTGTCTTGGTGAATTTACTATAATTTAGACATGGATTCTCCGTGTTTTAGTTTCAGAAATGTATCTTTTCATGTTTCATAAGCCAGTCCTACCCAAATTAATATTTATATCCATTACAAATCCACATTTGCAACAATGACTATAGCTAATCTTATATCTTGAACTATGGGGCCCAATATTGTGGACTGGATAAAAATTCTGATCCCATACTAATGGATTTTTTGTACCAAAAAGGCTGTAATGATAGGATCCCTTGATGCTGCTGCTGATATTAATGACAATCATCATCATAATAAAATGATCCCTAACACTTATCTAGGACTTTTGTGTTCCTAGTGCTATTCTAAGCATTTAGTATTTAATCATCACCATAACCTGATATAATAGGCATTAATATTTTCTCTATTTTACTTGATGTGGTTTCAGTTTTAATTTGTTGGCTTCTTTTGTGGCCCAACGTGTAATCTGTCTCAGAGAACATTCTGTGAATGCTTGACAAGGATGTGTATTTTGCTGCTGTTGAATGAAATGTTCTGTATATGTCTGTTAGAAGTGTAGCATACGTTCAGTGTTTCCTTATTGGTTTTCTGTCTGGATGATGTGCCAATTGTTAACAATGGAAGATTGAAGTCCCCAATTGCAGTCTCTCTCTCTCTTCAGATTTATTAATACTTACTTTCTGTACCTAGATGTTGTCATACTGCGCATCTATATACTTACAATTACATCTTCTTAATGAATTGATCTCTTTATCACTACAGTTGGCCCTTGAACAACATGGGGGTTGGGGGCATCAACTTCCTATACAGTCAAAAATCTATGTATAACTTTTAACTACCCAAAATCTTAACTACTAATATCCTACTCTTACCAGGAAACCTTACCAACAATGTAAACAGTTGATTATTACATATTTTGTATGTTATATGTGTAATATGCTATATTCTTACAATAAAATAAGCCAGAGAAAAGAAAATGCTATTGAGATAATCATAAGACAGAGAAAATATATTTGCTATTCATTAAGTGGAAGTGGATCATCATGAAGGTCTTCGTGTAGCCTTTTCAGTGTGAGTAGACTGAGGAGGAGAAGGAAGATGAAGAACTGGTCTTGCTGTCTCAGTAGTGGCAGAGGCAGAAGAAAACCTATGTATAAGTGAATCTGTGCAATTCAAACCCTGAACAACCCAGTTGATCAGAGGTCAACTGTATATAATAACCTTCTTTTTCTTGAATTACACTTTTGGACTTAAAATGGTTTTGGTTTTTGTTTTTGTGTGTTTTTTTTTTTTGTTTTTTTTTTTTTGAGATGGAGGCTCTCACTGTCACCTGGGCTGGAGTGCAATGGCACCATCTCAGCTCACTACAATCTCTGCCTCCCGGGTTCAAGTGATTCTCCTGCCTCAACTTCCCGAGTAGCTGGGATTACAGGCGGCTGCCACCACACACGGCTAATTTTTTGTATTTTTAGTAGAGACAGGGTTTCACTATGTTGGCCTGGCTGGTCTCGAACTCCTGACCTCAGGTGATCTGCCCGCCTTGGCCTTCCAAAGTGCTGGGATTACAGGCATGAACCACTGTGCCTGGCCTTAAATTGTATTTTATGCGTTATAAGTATGGTTACTCTTTCTCTCTTTTGGTTTTTATTTGTTTTCTCTCTTTTGGTTTTCGTTTGCATGGAATACCTTTTTCCATTCTTTCACTTTCAAGGGTGTCCTTAAAGGTGAAGTAAGTCACTTGTGTATAGTTGGCTCTCCTATTATCCATTCAGCTAGTCTATGTCTTTTGATTGGAGAATTTAATTCATTTACATTCACAATATTTACTGATAGGTAAGAATTGACTACTGCCATTTTGTTAATTGTTTTTGTTTTGTTTTGTTGATCCTTTGTTTCTTTCTTACTCTCTTGCTGGAATTCTTTGTGACTAGATAATTGTCTCCAGTGGTATGCTTTGATTCCTTACTTTTTAGGCTTTTGTATATTTACTATAGATTTTTGCCTTGCAGTAACCATGAGGCTTAATAAAATATCTTATAATAATAACAGGCTATTTAAGTTTATAGAAATATTACTTTGATCACATAAAAAGATCCAATTTTAGTTCATCTCCTCATTTTTTTGATATCACAATTTTAATCACTTTATATTGTATATCCCTTAATAGATTATTGTAGATTTTAATATTTTTAATGTTTTTGTCTTTTAACCTTTATACTAAACAACATACAACATTACAGTATGAAGGTATTCTTAATTTGACTGTATATGTACTTTTATCAGTGAGTTTTATACTTTCATATGCTTTTGTGTTACTAATTTTTTTCCAACTGGAAGGACTCCCTTTAGCATTTCTTATAAGACAGATTGAGTGGCAACCAAGTCCCTCAGGTTTTATTTGTGAAAGTATCTCTCCTTTATTTCTGAAAGACAGCTTTTCTGCATATTCTTAGTTGGCAGTTTTTTTCCCTTCAGCATTTTGGATATGTAATCTCATTCTTTTCTGTTCTGTATGGTTTCTGCTGAGACATCTACTGCTGGCCTTAATAGAACTCCTTTACATGTGATTTGCTTCTTTTGCTGCTTTCCAGATTCTCTCATTGCCTTTGATATTTGACAATTTAGTTATAATATGTCTTTGTGTAGTCTTGTTTGGGTTGAATCTGATTGGAGACTTCTTACTTTTCTGTGACTGAATATTTATATTTTCCCCCAGATTTGGAAAGTTGTTTGCTATCATTTCTTTAAGTAAGCTTTCTTCTCCTTTGTCTCTCTCTTAACCTTCTTTACCTTCTATAGTTTGAATTTTGCTCTTTTGATGCTGTTCCATAAATCCTGTCAGCTTTCTTCATTTCTTCTTATTTTTTTCTTTCTTTTCCTCTAACTGTATATTTTCAAATAGCCAGTCTTTAAGTTCACAGATTCTTTCTTCTGCGTGATAAATTCTGCTATTGACAGTCTCTATTACATTTTTCATTTCACTATATTTTTCAGCTTCAGATTTTATGTTTCTTAATAATGTATATAATTTCAACCATTCTGATAAATTTCTTGTTTTGGACATTTACTTACTTTCTTGATTTTGTTGAATTATTTCTGTATTTTTTGAAGTTTACTAAGCTTTCTTAAAACAATTATTTTTAAATTCTTTTTGGCAGTTTGTATATCCTCATTTACTTGGAATTAACTACTGGGAAATTACTGTGTTCTTTTGGTGATGTTTTGTCTCTTTGGTTTTTCATGTGTCTGGTTGCCTTTTACATTGATGTCTGCATGTTTGATGTATTCCAGTCACCTATTCCAAAGTTTATGGACTTGTTTCTCTGTAAAAAGTCCTTTCCCAAATGAGGGAGGCTGTGAGGGCACTTTCTGGGTGAGGTGCAAAGGTACTGGCACTAGTGACAGCACTGCTGTGTAGTCTTTGTGCAGCTCTATCATCTGAGGTTTGTGTTGACAAACATTGCAGGAATCCTTAGCAGCAAGACTGGATGTTTGCAGTGGTAATGAAGATTGTTGAGGTCTTTGGCGGCAATGGATGCTAAGGTGTTTCTCTCTTTCTCCTACTGAGGAAATTTTGGCTGAGGGGATTCCTCTTGGCCCTGGGACTGGCTTGCAGACACAGCCATGGTGGCAGTGGAATTGGTATCTGATGAGTGACCATGAAACGAAGGCATGAAGCATGGACACATGTGTGGGCACTTTGGTTCTGGGATCTGCAAAGTAATTGCTCTAGTCCCTGAGATGCAGGCACATTTACCACCATGTTGCTAATAGTTTGTGAGGCATGGGTGCCTGTGAAACAGCCACGGAGCTAAAGGGCACACAGGCTTGTGCAAGTTGAGTGTCTCTGAAGTCAGTGTGGGGCCTGGATGTATATGGCATGTGCCATGAAAACTTGGCTTCAGAGCTCAGAGTGCGAACTAGCTCGTCATGGCTATGGTTCCAGTGTTTGAGACACAGGCAGACCCAATGCACCAATGGAGTTTGGGTCTAGAGTGTTGGGACACTTAGGGCAGCTGTGATTGTGAGAGATGGCGGCTCCTTTCCTGAAGCAGCTCAATAGTGGTTGCTTCTTTGGTAGAAGATGGGTGTGTAGCCATGTCTCCTTCCCTGAGGTTCCCTGGTAGAAATTGTAACCTCAGTGGCAAAAGATGCCAGTGTCCTCTGTGGAGCAGGCCTCTGGAAACTACAGTGGTTCCTGTCACAAGATGGATATCAACAGCCTGTGACTTTCTTATTTGTCCCTAGTCATCTACTGGCATCTCAGGTATGTCAGTCTCACCAATGATCCTTTCTATGTGGATATAGTGTCTTTTTGCTCTCCTATATTGCTGCAGATTCTTTAATAGGCCTTTGAGCCCTCATTGGCCTATTTTGGTTTGTGGATAGCTGTGTATATATTTTTATGGAGGGATAAAGGCTGGTATCCCCTACTCTTCCATCTTGGTGGCCTCATCTCCAGAAACTGTTTTCTTAAGCATGAAAGAATAAATAAATCAAATAATATTCTAAGGAGTAATTCAAGAAATGTCACAAAGCAGTGCAAAAATAATTGCTAATGCAAATAGTTTGGTTATTTAAAGAATATGTATGTGTGAATGTTATAAATGGCTTTTGTTGGCTCGTGTTGAGTCAGTACAGTGATGCCATGACAAGCAAGGCATAGTCTAAATGTCTAAAAGAAAAACCAAACCAAAACAACAAATACACTTTTAATGCAGAAAAATCTTTCAGTTAGATGGATTAAAAAAAAAAAAAAAACCTGTCAAATGACCCAAACACACCTTATGGCAATAGCATAAAGCTGTTCTACTTGCCAGCTGCTAAAGTTCTTTTCAATTTTTTTTATGTGAGAGGTCAGGGTCAGCAGAACTGCTAGAAAATAATGTCATAATGAATACACTTAAAGTTTTCTCTTAAGTCACACAAGATGTTTAATCAGATATAAAGATGTTTTTCTCTTTCTCTTCCTGTGGTTTAAAGAAGGCCACAGGAAAGCAGGAGGGAGCCCAGTCAGCTAAGTGGGAGAGATGCCTCCAAACTGCTATCTCTGGCCAACAGCTTGAGCCATTTGGGAGTGTTGCTCTACTTCTGATGCCCAGGTAGCAACATTTACTGCATCATTCTCATTACAACATGACACAAAAAGGATAAATTATAAAAGAAAAAAGATCTATAATTTTTAATTCATTAAAATAAAATTTTATATATGTGTATATAAAAGACTATATATATATATATATATATATATATACATACATATATATGTGTCTTCAAGTTTGTTAGATCCTGTTCATTATCTACCCTTTACTTTGTTTCTCCTGATTTTTATTTATTGTACTTAATAACAAAATTTTATTACCTTTCCAGGTATTCTTTGTAATATTATGGGCACTTTATATTTATGAGCTATCCTGTTCATTGCCCTTTTTTCCTCTCTTTTCTCTGACACAAACTTTTCATCTTGTCCATGATTGCACACCCTCACATTTCTTCTCTCTCCCTGATTTCTAGTATCATCTTACTTTCTCTCAAACTTACCTATATTCAATAATTTGTCATTTTTGAGACAAAATGTAATGCCTAGATTGTAAAATATAATGTCCGGTTTCTTGAGTTTTGATAAGTTTATAAACTTGTGCAACTCCAACTCCAACTGAAATAGAGATCATTGTGCTCCCCAAAACTTCCTTTGGGTCACTTCCTAGCCAGTTTACTACAATCAAGTGAGTAACCACTATTCTAATACATAAATTAGTTATGCCTGTTCTTAGCTTTCATATAAATAGAATCAAATAGTATGTACTCTCTTGTGTTTGGATTCTTTCACTAAATACAATATTTTTAAGATTTAATTTTGGGGGAATTGTCAGTAGTTCATTCATATTCATTTCTGAGTAGTATTCCATTTGGTGACTATGTCACAATTTATTCATTGACCTCTTGATGGACATTTGGTTGGTTCTAGTTTTAGCAATTATGATTAAAACTGTTATCAATATTTTCATGTGTGTCTGTGTGAAGAGACCACCAAACAGGCTTTGTGTGAGCAACATGGCTGTTTATTTCACCTGGGTGCAGGTGGGCTGAGTCTGAAAAGAGAGTCAGCGAAGGGAGATAAGGGTGGGGCCATTTTATAGGATTTGGGTAGATAAAGGAAAATTACAGTCAAAGGGGGGTTGTTCTCTGGCAGGGAGAGTGGGGGTCACAAGGTGCTCAGTAGGGGAGCTTTTGAGCCAGGATGAACCAGGAGAAGGAATTTCACAAGACAATGTCATCAGTGAAGGCAGGAACAGGCCATTATCACTTCTTTTGTGGTGGAATGTCATCAGTTAAGGCAGGAACCGGCCATCTGGATGTGTACCTGCAGGTCACAGGGGATATGATGGCTTAGCTTGGGCTCAGAGGCCTGACAAATATTATTGTATAAGTTTTGTGTAAATATTTATATTTACTTTTTGGGCTAAATATCTAGTTGTAGAATTGCTGTATCATAGGGTATATTTGTATTTAATACCATGAGAAAATTCCAATCAGTTCTCTAAAGCAGTTATACCACTTTGCGTTCATACCATTAAAGAATGAGAGATCCAGTTTCTCTACAAATTTGCCAACTTAAATATTCCCATTCTTTTTTTTTTTTGAATCTTAGCAATCCTACTGGGTGTAAAGCGATGTTTTATTGTGATCATAATCTGTTTTTTCCTGGATATTCATGTTGTAAAGCACCATTTTTGTGTGTTTATTGGCTATTCTAGCACACGATTTCTTTTGTGAAATAACTGTTAAAGTTCTTTGCATATTTTTTGTCAGTTGAATATCTTTTTACTATTGACTTGCAATTTTTAATATTTTTCTAAATATAAATTATCTTTCTGATATATGTTTTGCAAATATTTTTCCTCATTTGCAGATCGACTACATTCTTAATGTTACTTTTGTTCAAAAAATTTTTTGAATGAATTAAAAATTGCGAATCTTTTTTCTTTTATAATTAAAAAATATAAATATATATATATAATATATATTTATAAATAAATTAAAGGTTGCTGCCCAGGCATTAGAAGTAGAGCAGCACTCCTGAATGGCTCAAGCTGGTGGCCAGAGGTATAGGAGCATCTCTCCCACTTAGCAGACTGGGTCCCCTGCTT
Organism: Homo sapiens; assembly: GCF_000001405.40. Classification (NCBI taxonomy): domain Eukaryota; kingdom Metazoa; phylum Chordata; class Mammalia; order Primates; family Hominidae; genus Homo; species Homo sapiens. The sequence continues at coordinate 173,354,227 of NC_000003.12, forward strand.
TCCTGTGGCTTTCGGTAAACAGACCATTCACGCATTTGCCTGTGAACTTAAAATAACCCACATCCCACATGCTATTTCCTTATACATATTGCTAGTTTCCTCTCTCTCTCTGCCTGATTCTTTATTCCTGCATCACATGACCCAAGGATGGAGGACTGCCCTCTTAACGCATTGCAACATCCCTGCCCAGGATCTGAAAGTAAAAGTATTTTAACTTGTTTTCTATTACGATGGTGTATTGAATTTGTGCCTTCCATATTTCGAACCAGGGGCTACCTCAGGCCAAACTTGCTTCAGAACATGGGGGTGAGATGGGGGTTCACAAAGTTATGCTCCTAGTGCCAGAGTGATGGTCAGGCAGATCTGAACAGAACACAGGGCAGATGAGAGCCAGAAGGGTGTCTGCCATTGTAAACAAGTTTCCTGTGTGGAGAACCCCTTGGTCATTGGTTGGACAAGTAGGCATTAGACCGCCTGCCAGGTAAAAAAAAGTAAGGAACACTGTAAACACCCATGACCAACTCCCCTTCATTTCCTACTAGGGTAGGGTTGCTAGCTGCTCTGGTACTGGAACCCAATTTAGCTGGGGAGTCTCAAAACATCTATTTAAGAAATCTTTGCATATCCCAAAGTCATGAGGATATTCTCCTATAATTTCTAGTAGATGCTTTATTATTCCAGTTTTTACATTAGGTATGTGATCCAGCTCAAAATAATTTTTGTTTGTAGAGTGAGGTAGAAGTTAATGTTCATTTTGTTTTTCATAGAAATAGTTGATGGCTTAAGCCCTATTTGTTAAAGCAAAACGAAAACAAAACCCTCTTTCCCAATTGAATTAACTTTATACTTTGGAAAAGTTCAACTTGCCATATAAGTATGTAGATTTTCTATATATTTCCTGGACTCCTTATTCTATTAAAAATGGTATTTTAAAAAGGTATTTCTCAAAAATTTACTCATAGTTTACAAAAATAAAATTTACTTTTGCCTATTGACCTTATATCCAGCAACATAGCTAATTTTGCTCACTAATTCTACTTAGACCTATTTGTTCTTTAGAATTCCATTGGGTTTTCTATATATAGACACTTCTGTACAAAAACAATATTCTTACTTCTAACTTTCTAATAATTGCATTACTTATTTCTTTTACTTGTTTTACTTCAATTACTAGGGTTTCTAAATCAATTTTGAATAGAAACTGTACACATGAACATTCTTCTTTTCTCAGAATTTTAAAAGGAAACAACCTTTCAGCATTAAATTTGTTAGCTAGATATTTTTTGTAGCTGCCCTTACCAGCTTGAGGAATTTCCCTTCCATTTCTAGTTTTTGAGTGTTTTTCTCATGAATGCAAACTGAATTTTGTCAAATGCTTTTTTGGTGTTTGAGATCCTGTGATTTTTCTCTAGCCTACTGTTAATGAGATGAATTACACTGATCAAGTTTTGATGGTTAAGTCATTCTTTCATTTTGGGATAAAGCCTGCTTTGTCATGTAGTATTATTACTCTTTTGAACATAGTGGGTCTTCTCCTAGGCACTTTGAAAATACTCTCTTTACTAGTTTTCAGAACTTACAATGTGCCTTGGTATAATTTTTTTCATGTTTCTTGTGTTTGGAGTTTGTTAATGCTTTTGGATTTGGGGGTTTATAGTTCCATCAAATATGAAAAATTTTCTACCTTTATATCTTCAAAGTTTTTTTTGTCCTGTACTTTGGTGACTTTAATTACAATATATTAAGCCATTTGAAGTTGTACTATAGCTCACAGATACTCTGTTCCTTTGTTTTTTTCAGTCTTTTTTCTCTCCATGTTTTATTTTGGGTATTTTCTATTGTTGTGTCTTCAAGTTCATTAATGTTTTAATCTTTTGTATCTAATCTGTCTTTAATCCCATTCAGTACCGTTTTCATCTCAGACATTACATTTTTTCATCTATAAGAGTTTATTAAATATTTATAAATATACATTTCACATCTCTATCTAAACTGCTCCATCTTCTCTACTTTCTTGAAAATATGAAATATACAGTCATCCTTTGTTATCTGCAGAAGATTGGTTCCAGGACCCCCATGGGTACTAAAATCATGAATGCTAGAGTGCCTTACATAAAACGGCATAATATTTGCATAAAACCTATGCACATTCTCCCTGTACTTTAAATTATTTCTAGATTACTTATAACACTTAATACAATGTAAATGCTATGCAAATGATTGTTATACTGTATTTTAAAATTGTCTGCTATTTTTATTGTTATATTTTATTATTTTTTTTTGAAATATTTTTTCATCTGATATTGGTTAATTCCATGGATACCGAACTGGTGGCCTCCTGGACTGTATTAGCTCCAAAGATTGTTCCACCTACACTTTTCTATTATTTTTCTCCCCAGGCCTTAGGTAGTTTTCTTACAACGCATTCACTGATGTCTCAGCTAAAGACTCTAGGGGAACTCTCTAGATATCCAGAGCTCTTTCTATACAGCTGTCTTCTCTAGCTGCTTGGCCTTCTTGGATTCCATTACCGTTTTCTCAGTACAGGAAGATATTCTACATTCTCACTGCAACCTGGAAACTGGGAAATTTCAGGTCTCATTTTGTTTGTTTTCCCTCTTTCAGGGATCACTGTTCTGATGGCCAATGACTGAAATCCCTATTTTATGTATTTGAGCTCAAGCCAAAGTCATTAGACAAGGGAACCAGTTATTAAAGACATTTGAGGTTGATCTTCTGGGATATAAAGCAGCATGATAAAAGGCAGAGAGAGGACTTGAAGGGGCGAATAGAAAATATCCAGCATACTTGACCAAAGAGGTTCTCATCTTAGCTACTTCAGAATTTATTCTTGTAAATAAACTGGACTAAGTCCTTTGGCCTCATTTCCTATTCTAAGCATCTATAGACTTTGCAGCATATGATAAGCTAAACATCCTCAATTTCAAAGTTGCGAAAATACATAGTGTCAGAGCAATTTTGCTTATTTGTTTATCCATGTTATTTAAAATAGAAGGCAAATTTTACAAATCCAAAAGTTAAGAGTTCAGTCTCCTGATTTTATTAATAATGATTCTTCAATATGTACAATGAAGTTCAATACATGTATCCAATATATCTGAATAACAATAATATCTATAATTTATTGAGAAATGTCTGTATAAAATGTACATAATACATCATTTACAGATACTTTTCTTGTTTAATCCTCAGAGTACCATTATAAAATAGTTATTGTCATTTTAATGCCGATTTACATATTAGAAAACAAAATTAAACTGATTCTGTACGTTCACGAAGATCATCTAACAGGTAAATAGCCGTGCTTGGATTTAAGCATTGAGCTTTCTGCCTCTATAGCTCACTCTCTTGTTGCCTCTTTTTGCTTTGGTAAAAAATCAAAAAACAGTAACACAAGTTCAAAGACAATTGTTATTGTTGGGATCCAGAAAAAAAAATTATTCACATTTTCAATTTCAATATGAAGGTTAACTCAAGTGTCACTTTGGGCAACTTGCCCAGACTCCACTGCTTCTCCTCCATAACTGGTTCTTTCCCTCATTTGGCACCTCTCTCATATTGAACGGTGAGTCCACTTTCAACATTTCTCTGATAGTGAAAGAGAGAGAAAAAGAGATAGTATGGAGCTTTAAGCCTTTTATTTAGTTAAGCTACTGAAATATTTTCATGCGTAAAGGCTGCAAAACTGTACTCAAAAAGGGTTGCTTGACATTTCAAAATGGTACCATCTCTGTCAAGTTAAGAAGAGCATGCTATTTACAAATCTTCCTTAACACAAATGCATATGATGTTTCAAGGATTCTTTTCATCTTAAAACTGAAGTGCTTATACCTGTTTTCTCATCTAACACTGCATTAGAACTGACAAAAAATAGTGTGAATCCAGGTCTGACTGCCAACGCATTGTTACGTACAGATGGTTAGAAGTCAGCTTTGTCCATATTAGCATTAGATGACCTTACTGACCTATTTACTGGTGTACAATATTTTATATCCAACTACTGAGAGGAATTAGTGCTCTGTGTGTGTGTGTGTGTGTGTGTGTGTGTGTGTGAGAGAGAGAGAGGATATATATATATATATCGAGATATATATATATCGAGATACATATATCAAGATATATATATATCGAGATATATATATATCAAAAATAACAGGAAAGTAACAGAGCAGATGACAAATTGGAGTCAAAAGAGTGAACAGCCTTGTTTTTTGGATCTGTAGTTAGAGGGCAGAAAGAAAAAGAGGAAACCTTCATTGTCTTTACAGTAAGTCCCTAACGGTTATCACCCTCTACAACTGCTATCAAAATAAAAGTATCCATTATAGGGCCCAATGCCAGCAAACAGGCATAAAGATGTCACCTATTAATCAATTCTCTGTCATGGGAGATGTCCTGGATAGAAGATCACTTCGGGGATATATTGATCATATTGTACCAAAGTAGATGTTTGATAGAATGTACTCAGAGGTCCCTTACAACTCCATTGTTCTATAATCTTAAGAGTTATATAGATTAATAAGTAATTCCTTCCACATTACTATGTATTTGTGATGCAAATAGAAATTCCTGACTGTCAATAAGACAGCAGCATGTAAGTGCACAGCATATTTCTGGCCTTTCCATTGCAATTCATTTTTTAAAAATTATAGAATTATTATATTTGAAGATCATTACCTTCAACTTTTCATTATTTCAGATGAAAAAGCAAAGACTTGGAGAAGTGAATTGACTTGTTAAAGTTCCCAGAGCTACCTAGTGGTAGATGACCTGCTAAGTAAATCGTGGGAGGTTTAACTCAGTGCTCTAACTTACACATGCTAAAAGATAGTTTGTAGTTACAGTGTGCAAGAAAGAGCCATGAAATTTACTACATTTTATATCACTATGTTACATCAGTTATTAAATTTTCTACATTTAATTGTTCCATCAGTACAGTGGACATACTGTTTTCTACCCAGAAGTCATATAAATGTTGTTTCATACTTACAATTTTAAGATAATCATATAGAAAACATGCCATATATTTCCAGTGATTTATATTTTTATATAGAAAGAAAGATAAAACAAATAGTTTTTAAAAACAAAGCATGAACTGACAGAAAACCTTAGTTTTATGTGGACATTTAATAGGTTTCTCTACTATAAGCAAAGTGTGAAGAATATATACACTCGGAATTAAGTTGAACTACTCATTGGTTATCTTTAAGCACCCCACATCAATAGGTGGTTTCAAATTTTCTTAGCTATAGACTTGGTTATCTGAAATAAGTCTTATATTCTGAGCCATCCTGCAACCCACATGTCAGCTGAGAGGCCTTTTCTTTTCTGAGTTCTGTACGTTATGTAAGTGACCTCAACTCCAAGGCCTATGCGAATCCAGAGCTCTCTCAAGTTTTCTGCAGATGTGCAAGCCTTCACAAGCTTATGATCTCCTTTATCACCTAACCTCCTGCTTCCATATGCTACTCTCTTGCAAAACCCAACTCCCTTGCCAATTTCTATCCACAATCAGCAATCATCAACAACATCCATCCCTCCCAAAACATTTGTGAATATGGTATGACTAAGGTAGAATTTCCTAAGTGCTAAAGAACCTGAGTAATGAAAAAGGATGAGAAGATCTTCGCTTATCATGCAGTAAACACTTTTAAGACTGAAATTAGACATTCCTTTTTTTCTGTAGTCCTCTGGGTTCCTCTCCTAGCTCTCCCCCAAGATATCATTCCATCTTATGTCCTTTCCAGATTCCTTTCTTCACCAGCCCCTATTTCCTCACCCCCTTCCCTTTCTCTTTCCTTTCTAAAAAAAAAATTATCTTTCTCTGTCCCAAAAGACCAGATCCATTCCTTGCTCTGAAGCCTTTGGCCTTTGGAATGTCCTTGAGACCCATCCAGGCAGTTATGATATTTTTTTCCCAACTCAAAGATAGTTCTCTTCCTACAAATCCTGGGGTGTATTTATAGATAATAATTTATTTGCCATTTTTCCAGTTTTAAAGTAAATCTAGAGAGGGCACAAGAAGACCAGATATATAGATTGGCCTCTGAAAGATGCTAAAATTACCAGCAGACCGTACTGGAGTAAATTATGTGCCTCTAGATCTTGGAAAAAAAAAGAGATAAAATAGGGTTGGCAAATGCCCACTTGCCTCATTGAATATTATTCAAGCTATAATTTTATCAAGGTTATTGTGTTTAATAATTTGAATTTAAGTGACCACAATAATGAAAACTGTTACCTTTATAGAGAGAAGTAAATAGTACTTTCTGCTTGCTAAGTTATTTTACATACTTCATCTCACTCGAGCTTCACAGAAACCTTCTGGGAGAAATAGATGAGGAAATATCATTAGTTTAGTTTTTTGTAGATGTCATGAAGGTATGTTATTTTCAGAAATGAGATTTCAACTTTAGTCCTTCCATATATAGCTACTCAAATTTAGCCATTTTTCTATATCTCTCTGCCACTTCCACAATGGTGACCTCCCTCCTGTCTTGAGTTTCTCTAATTCAGTCTCACTTCTGCAACCAAAGAGATATTTTAAAAATCCAGATTTGCTCATTCCACATCCTTTCTTAAATTGGCTCAATGCCTTCCCATTGTGTGATGGTTAGTATTAGCTGTCAACTTGATTAGATTGAAGGATGCCTAGATGGCTGGTAAAGTACTGTTTCTGGGTGTGTCTGTGACTGTGTTCCCAGAGGAGATTGACATTTGATTCGGTGGACTGGGAGAGGAAGACTCACTCTCAATGTGGGTGGGCAGCAATCAACTGCCAGTGAATCTAGAACAAAGCAGGCAGAAGAAGGTGGGATGACCTTGCTTGGTTGGTTGCCTTCTAATAATCATTTAATCACAAATTGCCCCATCTATGAAGTTGGGGTCTGGTGTCTTTACTATAGGAAAGCATATGACATCATGGTACCAGACATACTGTGAAACAACTGTTTTTATATTCACCTATTTCTGTTGGTGGACTTCAAGTTATATGAGGAGAGTGACCATATTGCTTCAAAGCACTTGTTGAGTAAATTCATTCAGGGGTCAACAAATGACATCTGTGGGCCAGATTTAGCTCACAGCTGTTTTTGCACAGCTCACAAGGTGAGAAGTTTAAAATTTTTAAAGGATTAGAGAGAGAGGAAACATAAAGAAAAAGAAGGAGGAGGAGGAGAGGGAGCAGAGAAAATATATAACCCTCAAAGGCAAAAAAATAATGTATTATCTCCGTCTTTACAGAAAAAAATATCAACCTCCAAATTAGTAAATATTTTTACTAATTAGAAGATATTTTGAATCTAAATGTTTGCCTCTTTCAATAAGCCAAGATCCTTCTCAAATATCTTACGACTATCTTTAAAATCTTTTGATTATAGGGAGAGTCACTAAGCCTGTTATATGAACATTCTAAATGTCAGTTCACCTTACTGATTAATAACAATAATAAACATCTCTGATGAGTATTGCCAGGTAACAGTGGCTGCTAGCGGCATTAACTAGCTTCATGAGACTGATTCAACAGAGGTTGCTTATATCTGCCGAAAGTATGATAAGCTTGGCAGACTACAAAACAAAGTAGAAGAAAAGTGTTTTTGAGAGTAAAATCAACCTGGTAATTTCGACTCTTATACTTTGTTTCCCAAAATATTTTATTCATCAAATTGAGAGCCCATATGCGAAAGAGAAGAAACAAAGCTTTCAGGTGAGTGGGTAGCACTTCCTCTACTGTTTTTATAAGAAAAGTGTGGTCTAGGTAGTTTTCAAAGGAGGAAAACAGTTTTTTATTTCTGCTGCTTTTTAATATGTTTTCAAAGTTGTTATTTAAATAGCTGGCATTCTTAAGATCTATTATGTATTCAACCACGTGCAATTTTATGTATTTTGCCCTTAACAACCATAATTTCTTTGTTGTCTGCATCAAAATAAAGATATTTAGGTGAAGGTTTTCACTTTTCAAGTTTTCACTCTACTTAGCAAGTTACTGTGTGATTGCTGATTCTCTAAAACATCAAATTATAAACAGGATGCTTAAATAAAAAAGACTTATTGGTAATTGATAATTCTATTTTGAAAATATATTGAACCTAGTGCTTTTTGCAAAGTCATGTGAAAATATTCTGGTGTACATAGTCTTTTTATTACAAAGTGTTTTAATAGGTGTTGGACAATAAATTATAAAAATATTTTTGTTAATTTTCTTTATAATACTTATAAATTTACTTACATGAATAATGTCAGTGGAAAACTAGAGCTCAACAATTTTACAGTGCAATTACTGAAAGTGTGTCCTCCCGTTCACTGGTTTGCTTATCAAAAGTCTATCAGCTTGAGGTATGATTTATTCTTTGGCAAGCAAGAGTGTGACCATTCAAACCAAAGGACATCAGCCCAGTCAAGTCTGAGCTTTCAGGATTTAGGGGAAGTGGAGAAGGGGAAGTATTGCGAACAGGGAGGGAATAGACACTGTGCTGAAAAACCTATTAATTTACTTTTTCTAGAGGAGATGATGAAAATGTTGATTGCCTGTATTCTTAACATATATAATCAGCTAATAAATAAAATTAGAATCCCTGAGCTTGCATATATTATTTCTATATATTATTTGCAACAAATGATATATTACCATCTAGCTCCAAGTTATGATCACGTCCACTGTCAGAGCCTTTACTGGGAAATTCACAGTAAATGCAGAATCTGTTACTGTTTTAGCTCAGAGTCAAGTAGCACAAATCATAGATTCACTATTCAGGAATTAGGCATTGAAATGGCTCAGAATATGGTAAGTAATTTTTTAATAATTCTATTCATTTAATCAACACATAGATTTTTGAGTACCTAATATATGCATGGCATTTCACCATAAATAAGACTAGTGTTTTTTCTCAAGGAGTAAGCAGTTTAATTGGGGGCAGCAACATATAAATACTATTATTTCAAATAGTGTTGAAAGTGTGAAATATGGGCTATGAAAACACAGAGCAGGTAGCAAAAAAGTTTGTGTAGAGTATCCCTTATGAGGTTCATATTGACAAATCACCAAATAACTATGATAAATGTTAAGAAAGAAAACATGTTTGAGCTGCAAAAGTATCCCACAATTTTCCAAAGGGGAAAACGTTGATACAAGTCTATTTTTTTTGTTTGTTTTGTACTGGGCCAGTTAATTAAATTAAGGGTAAGAAAGGTCTGGAAGACCCCGCTATTATAAAACTCTATTTATAACTTGAGTTCCTTTTATGAAATGCATTATAGACATACTTGCTTAGGAATTTATTACTAGAATATAGTAAATAGTTGTTAGGAAATTTGCTGTCTTGATGTCAATGAAATAATGAATAATAATGCTGATGCTATCTACCTCTAATTGAGCTTTCTGTAAAACTCTACCAAGTGTTTTATATCTATTTTTTCCATTTAATTATTTTAATGAGCTAGGTACTATTATTATCACTATGTTACAGATGAAAAAAACTAAAACATAGAAATGTTAAGTAACATAGGGCAGCTAAGCAAGGCATTGGTAGGTGAAAGAGCTGGGATATAAACCAAAGGTTGAAGGATTCATAGCTAAGCATTTAACTATTGTATTTTATGAAGGTAAAGACAAAATAAAGCTCAACATGCTTTTATCTGAAAAGTCAACAACAAAGGATATAGGCCAAAATTAATATGCCTATAATTTGGCCATAATCATTTATATATTTTTCTTTTAAAAAATGTTTCTTTGAAAGTAAAATTCTAGATTTTTTGTATTGTGGTCCCTGATATTTTTTACCTGCTGAATCCCAAGTATACAATTTTACTCTATTTATGTACTCATTTTGGACCTGTGCCAAATCAGACAGTAGTAATTTTAGGATAGAGTGGTAATTCATTGCTTAAGACAAACCAAGAATGGAGATTAATAAACAGTAGTCAAATGGTAGATATAAAATATGTGTTTGTGGGTTAGATTATATGCTATAAAGTCAAAGATGCTAGCTGATAAATAGCAATATTCCCATGCCTCTCAGAAATATTTATATATGCATTGTTGCCAAAAGTGGTAAACGTGGATGAATTGTAAAACTTATTGTCCCCTTTGCTTTTTTCACACATGCGCTTTGCACTACTTTTAGAGAATCACGTGCCCTTGGCATCTTCCCTAGTCTGTTGTAAACTTTGATTATAGGATTCCCCTGTGTGGCCCATTACCATCAATTTGATTAATGTAATATTCCCATTTTTTTTTTCCTGGGGCCTCTCAGTACCCAGAAACCTAGTTTTACATTTTCACTAAAAACTAAACTTTAATTATCACATCTGTGTTGGTTTCCTTTTGCTGCTGTAACAAATTACCACAAGTTTAGTGGTTTAAAATAACACATTTTTATTTTCTTACATTCCAGAAGTCAGAAGTCTGAAATGAGTCTTACATGGCTAAAATCAAGGTGTCAGCGAGCTGTGTTTTTTCTGATGGCTCCAAGGGACAATGTGTTCATTGTCTTTTCCAGCTTCTAGAGTTCACCTACATTCTTTGGCTCATGGCTACATCACTCCCACTTTTACTTTCATTGCCATATCTCCTTCTCTGATACTAACTCCCCTCACTCCCTCTTTCTTGTATAAGGGCCCTTGTAATTACATTGAGTCCACCTAGATAATCCAGAATAATCTCTCCCTCTCAACACTTAACTTAATCACACCTACAAAGTTCATTTTCCCTATGAGCTGATATATTCACAAGTTCTGGGGATGAGGATGTGAACATCTTTGGAAGGGCTATTTGGGACCATGATCCCTAAAAATGACATGGCAAGGTTTTGACAAAAAACCTGTTTGCAATTTTCAGAATATAAACAACAATCTTTTCATTTACAGGCAGTCCCAAATAATCCTTCCAGTTCTACCTGATTATTTCTCTTCTCATCTTTTCTTATCTCAAGTCTTTGGGATAAAGTAACTGAATATAGGAATATAAGTCAAGTAACTTCATGTAGTAAATTATTTTGGTTTTTTCCCCCCACCTTTAGTCCTTTTGGTATTCACCAATGAAATCTGTTTCAGAACCACATTAGAGTAAAAGAGGATGCATCGTGGTATGGAACCTAATTATGTGTTCGTATTATCTGTGTTTCAGGAATTATGTGGACATAGTCTGGTGAATGACACACAGCAAGTGCAAAACTAATGTTTGGTCTTGCTTTCTCCATCCTTTTCAAAGCCTAATAAAGGCTGTAGGATGAAATTCATCTGTTCTGAGCATGACCCTTGACTTGTCATTTTGGTCCTCCCAAACATCCATCTCAGTGGTTTGTATTGAAGCGGGCATTCACTGAGATTCTTCCATCTGTTCAGTTCCTGATCAGTGGTGACTTCAGTCCTTCAACAAATGGTGCATTTGAAAAGATTAATGGGTTTTTTATCCTTGATGATGTTTCTAAATTCTGCACTAGGAAACAGAACTTGGGCTGGAAGATTTTGCAGGTACAAGTTACCAGAGTCATAGCAGCTATGGTGTGGAAGAGTGTGCAACTTAAAAAGTTGTCCCCTCTCCCTATGCTTCTTGAATCTTTGAAAACACATTTATGCACAGAAAACATAAAACAGGGATAGCTTGCTTCAGATTGATTGGGGTTCCAACATTTGCTTCACTTATTAAAGCTTATAAAATGTCATTTAATTAATCCCAAGTTTTATTTCGGTAGGAAATTATTTAGGAGTAGAAGCCATTTTATTATCACAGAAGCAAGGGAAATAATGATAATTTTTTAAAAGATTATAAAAAGTATATTTAATTTCAACCTTTCTAATTTTTAAAATGAAATAATGAACATCTGTGACTAAATGATTTTAGTTTTATTTAAGAAGAAAAGGTTTAATGTAGCTTCTGTGGGCTGTTGTACCAATGAGCCCTTATCAGCTGAACGCTATAAACTCTAATACTTACATCTGGGATTCTTGGGACTTTATCTAGAGTCATCATAAAAGAACTTCAACATTTACTGGGCTCAACCAACAGCCATAGAGTGCCCACTGTGAGTTAGGGCTTTACACTATAAACTAGCAGTGCAAATATAAATAAGATACGGAGGTCTTATATATTTATATTTCTGCAAGAGATTTATATTCTAGAACAACATTCAAGTTCTATCCAAATACAAGTACAGCACTCCTGCCCAGTGGTGACACCAACATAAATAAATCTGGTCCCTGCCCTATGGAACACAGAATCTAATGTGGAGGCAGAAAAGTATGTGTGGCCCATATACATACTGTATGAAAATATACTGTAGAGTGAATGTACATGTATTAAATGGAGGAGCTTTCATTTGGAGAGGGTCAGCAGGCAAGTAGCCTCACAGAATGTTATGACGTGGGCCATCACACAGTTCAGAGTGTGTCTATTACTCTGGTATTTCCAGAAATTAGATATATCAGTGTACTCAGGGGAGATTATCAACCTTCAAACAAGACAACAGTAACTACATTCTGAACATTAGTGGATACATCATTGAAGATGTTCTTTTGCTATGATGAAAACGTTTACATTTCCTTTCCATATTATTCCATTTTCTCATATCAAAAATATTACCATAGAGTATACCATGAATTAGATATTTACTCATTCATAGAGCATACTATGAATTACATATTTACTCATTTAATCCTCAATACAAGTTTATGAATCAGAAAATCATTTTACAAGGAGGGAAAATGAGGCATAGAGAGGTTAAGCAACTTTCCTGAAGTCCTATAGTTGGGAAATGAGGAACCAGATTTTGAGTGCAGCTTCATTCTAAAGCTGACAGTTGTCACTTCTGTGCTATTTTGCTTAAAGGGTCTTAAGAAGAAATGGAAAACAGATCAAATAAAATAAAAATTAAAACATTTTTATTATATAGGTTATTATTCCTGATTAAATTAGAAGTAGGTGTTTCAGGAATACATTATCTCCCCAAATTATGTGTACATTTAAATAGTCTAAACTTTCAGAGACAAGCCTTATTTCCTTGGGTCTCATTTCTTGTCCTTCCAGATATGTCTTGAAAAAGGATCAGAATAATAAAGATGTGAACCAAGTGTGGTGGAAACAAAACAGAGAGATGTAAATGCTTTAAAGCTATAGCAACAGACACGTGCTAATTAGTGAATAGCTTGTCTCCGTCATTTCTGTATTGCCTGTGGTAAAATGCCTCCATGTGAGGGAGGTGATTTTATATATATAGAGAGGTGATTTTATATATATATATATATAGAGAGAGAGGTGATTTTATATAGATATATACATTCATATATAATATATATAATATATACATATCCATATTCATATCCATATGTATATATTATATATACATATCTATAATATTATATATAATATATATGATATATACATATCCATATATAATATATATATCCATATATACATAAATCTATATATATATAGAGAGAGAGAGAGAGAGGGAGAGACAGAGAGAGACAGAGAGAGAGAGAGAGAACATATTTAATTTTTCTCCTCTCAGGATTTATCTGAAGGATCTGTCAGTGTCATCCAGCTCTAAAAATGGTTATGATTCCATAAAAAACCCTTCCATTTCCTTGCATATATAACATTTTTGTCTTAATTGCAAAGTTAATGTTATTTCCCATTGTAGCTATTAGTGTTAATCTCCATGTACAATTCGCTTATTACAGTAAAGCTTGGCTATCTGGAGACCAGGCATCCTAAAACCCCAGGCTTTCATCCAGATCTGAAGACAATTGGAGAAAACATGCATACACAGGATCACCTCTGCCCATTTCCTTTTTGTCATGGAGACTTGTTTCCTGTAGCCACTTGAAATACACAACAGAAACAGCTTAGATGAAATGAAGATCCCAGGGCTACAGTTCCATGTTATAACTGATTTGTCTTCCAAAATGAAGAAAGGAAGAATAAGTCTAGATAAAATTAGATTTTTTTTTTTTGGCAAAAAGAGTAGCATTCTTTATGTAACAGGAAACAAAAAGATAAGGAGGGAGAAAATCAGAAATATGGAAGAGAGCAATGGAAATTAATAGTATCTGGTTTTCTTACTGAGGTTGAAAAATGAGGGTAAGGAGAGAAGGGGTCAGTAATTGAATCAGAGAATCTTAATTAAAAACAATATAATAACACTGGAGGGGTAAATCAATCCAGAAAATCTACAGTAGAAAAGATTTAGTTGCTGGAGACGAGTGGAGGATTAGAAAAAATGCACAATCTCAAAGGAGTCAGAGACCAGGATCAAAATCAGTATGGACAACAATGTTGAAGTGAAGTGTTCACCACAGAGTGAAGTGGAATATAAGCAACTGAAATCTACTGTAAGAGAGGGAAGAGTTCTGAGTGATAGTTTATAACTCAGCAGCATTTAGGGCTTGTTTTTAGGGTCACCAAGAACTCTTTGCAATGGTGAGTAAGTATGGCTTAAAGAGTCAGTGCTGGGTTTACCGGTAGCCACAGTGGTGACTAAATGTTAATGAAGTCATTGGAGACTGTGAACAGCAGACACTCAAATAGTGGTGAACTGCAATAAAAAGGCATGATTAGCTACATGGTGTTCATTATGCAATGATGATGATGGTAGAATTTCTAAATCTCCAATCCCCAGGTATCCTCTCTCATTTGTTGTCCTTCTAGATATGCCTTGAATAAGGATCAGAATAATAATTCATATCCTATACTGTTTTCATTTCCTATAATGAATTCATTCTTGACTCCATTTCCTAATAATGTAAGATATCACTCTCTCTCTGTGTGTGTGTGTGTGTGTGTGTGTATGTGTGTGTGTGTGTGTGTGAATGGCATCTGTGCATCAACATTGAAAACTTCCTGAAACTGTTGATACTTCAATGCAAGTTGCCTTGAAAGTGGTATCTCTCCATTAAACTTTGTTAAAACCAACTACTGCATGTACCATTGACCTAGTGAAGGGTGAGGTAACATGCTCAGTAACTATGGCTTCAGTCCAATGTGCTATTAGCTATGAAGGGCCACAAGGCCCATGATGACTTATTATCTTCCATCAGCTCTCTCAGGTCATGTCATTGTATCTGCAAGGGCTATTCCTTCTGCCTAGAATGCTCTTCCCTTGGGTGTCCATGTGGCTAATTCCATCGTCTCCTCCAAGTTTTGTTCAAATATAATCATCTCCTTGAGTCCTAACCTGACCACCCTATGTAAGATTCTAATTCATTCTTCTTGTCACACATAACCACCCCTTACTCTATATTTTTTTCTTTCCTTCTCACTCATCGCTTTCTAACATACTATGTCGTGTTCTCTTTTGTTTTGTAGAGTTATCTATCATTTGTTTCCTGTCTTCCCCCTCTTGAACAGAAACACCACAAAAGCAGAGGTTTTTTTGCTTATTTAGCTCACCAATGTATTCTAATTACCTAGAATATTGCCTGGTTCATAGTATGCACTCAACAAATATTTGTTGAATAAGTTGAAAAAATAGATGATGTGGAAATGAAATACCTGAACCTATGCCCCAAGCCTTAGGCTTTCAGTTTGGGCTGCAGTTGAGTTCATTTAGGTTAAAGTGTCCTCAATGGTAGGAAAGACTGACAGAGTGAAATCGCCATTCCTAGCTTTGCTATTTCTGTCTTTCAGTTTTAGTCCATCTTTCATCTACTTTTTGCATACAGAAAGCTACACAAAAGTGTGTACTTCTTCTGTGACAGAATTTTTCTTTAATTCCCTGCTTCTCCTGAGCTCCTGGGACCCCAGGATTAAAACATGTATTTTCTGAACATTTTTTCTCAGAATATTCTTCCAAATTTCTTTTCCTAACTGAAAATTGTCTATCCCCTGAGAACAGCATATGCTCTGCAGAAACCTCATGTATTAGTCCATTTTCATCCTGATGTGAAGAAATATCCAAGACTGGGTAATTTATAAAGAAAAAGAGGTTTAATTGACTCATGTTCCACATGGCTGGGGAAGCCTCACAATCATGACAGAAGGCAAAGGAGGAGCAAAGGCACACCTTACATGGCAGCGGTCAAGGGAGTGCGTGCAGGGGAACTGCCCTTCATAAAACCATCAGATCTCATGCGACTTATTCACTATCATGAGAACTTCGCAGGAAAAACCCGCCCCCCATGATTCCATTACTTCCCACCAAGTCCCTCCCATGACACATGGGGATTTGGGA
Source organism: Homo sapiens (assembly GCF_000001405.40). NCBI lineage: Eukaryota > Metazoa > Chordata > Mammalia > Primates > Hominidae > Homo > Homo sapiens. The sequence continues at coordinate 173,370,414 of NC_000003.12, forward strand.
GCTACAATTCAAGATGAGATTTGGGTATAGCCAAACCATATCACCTCACCTGGAGAAGGCTGATACTTTCAAAACCCATTTACCTCATGTGATATTGGTGTCCTCCTTGCTCCCATGAGCTGCTTCCAGACCACCGTTCATTCTCCGTACTGCCCAACTCTTGGTTCCTACGCTATCTCACTTTCTCTACTTCATTGCTTTGTTTTTTCTTCTTTTTTTTTCTTTTTTTTTTTTGAGATGGAGTCTTGCTCCATCACCCAGGATGGAGTGTGCAGTGGTGTGATCTCAGCTCACTGCAACCTCCGCCTCTCTGGCTCAAGCAATTATCCTGCCCCAGCCTCCTGAGTAGCTGGGACTACAAGTGTGTGTCACCACGCCCTGCTAATTTTTTGTATTTTTAGTAGAGATGGGGTTTCACCATGTTAGCCCGGATAGTCTCGATCTCCTGACTCGTGATTCTCCCACCTCGGCCTCCCAAAGTGCTGGGATTACAGGTGTGAGCCACCGTGCTCGGCCTCATTGCTATTATTAATCAACCTCCTGACCATTCCTTCTCATTTTTTAATGACTGGGACATGGTCCACTGTGCAAGTCCAGAGAGAGAGGAGCTCAGTATTCTGTCCTCCATGACTTTTAGATACTCATTCAGTGATATTTTTCACCAGTCCACAGCAGTTCTCAATTTCTATGGTCATAATCTTGATTTGTATTTCTCTGGACTGCTCCATTTGTGAAGTCACTAATTCAGATATCTTACTGTCAGATGACAGCTTTCTACCTTCAAGTTATCTGTTTGTCTACTTCCACTACAAGTTTTCTGACATCAGGGTTTCCAGACAGCAGAGTCCACGATCCATAATTTTAATTACCCTTTTTTCAATACTCTGAACCCCCTTGCCAATTACCTGGCCAACCTGCAAACCTGAATGAACTCAACTAAATGGCTTTCCTTTTCAGCTCTTGTAAATGCTGTTTGAGAAAACCATGTAACTAGTTGTTTTCTTTTTAATCAGAATGTGTGTTCATCATGAACTGATTCTTCAGTACTGCTTAGGAACTCTATTATTTGTTTTGTAGTCAGATCATTTCTTGTTTCCTGCAACAATTATTGAAATTCTCTGAATCCTGATATTTTGTTTTTGTACATATGTCGTTTATGCCTACAGCCTATAGTAAGCAAACACAAACAGCTAAGCAGTAAAACTCCAGGTAACTGAAGCTGGGAGCAATATCAGATGTTACAATCAAGCAATCTGGAGTTCATGTTTTCTGTGTAGAGAGGGAGCCTTTGTGAGGTAGGACTCAGCCTGGAAGCTCCAATAAACACAGTTCAGATGGACTGAGAAAGAGCCAGAAGGCACAGAGCAGAGAGCATGCAGGGCAGAAAGGCCATTCCCAGGTAGTAAGTGGCTGAGCCTGGCATTTTTCAGGGCTTTTGGAAGGACAAGTCTTCTTAAATTGTGCCGACAATGGAGTGGCTACAAGTCACAGAAATACCACTGATAAAGCCTCCAAGGAGTCTGACTGTAAGGAACCTTTATCCAGGGAGTTGGAGAATTCTCTACTATTAAAATTAATAACCTCAGTTCTGCTCCAATGTGGGACACAAAAAGTGTGGGATGCAGAAGAGGTCAGCAGATGGCAGCACTAGATGATGAGGAAGAGAATCCAAACGGATGGGAACAGAACTATTTCCTTATTTCCTTATTTCCTTTGACCCCCTAGCAAAGGGTTTCTTGAAGAGTGCACATACACAAGGTAATTATTTGTAGTTTTTGATATGCACTCATACACTGATAGTTTTTAAATGCTGTATGTGACTTTTTTGTAGTTTAGGTGTTCTGTATCCTATACTAATTCTTTTACTTCTTCATATATTTACATACAGATGATATTACCTTTAAACAGGTTATTCCTTGCTGAATAAGCTGTACTTTGTATAAGCATAGTCCAACTGCTGAATAGTTTTACAATGGTTTGGTATATTTAAACAGAAAGAGGAAATGGATTCTCTTTTTACGTTATAATAGCTACAGAATTCTATAAGCTTATTGGTGGTTGTTAGAAAGTATCATTATCCTAGAATTTTCAATTATGGAAAGCATTTTTAAGTACATTTTTAAGCATTTGAAGTGTTGATGGTTAATCATGAGAAATTTGAGTTTTCCTATGATGATGGTGATATGGTTTGGCTCTGTGTATCCACCCAAATCACATCTTGAATTGTAATTCCCATGTGTCGAGGGAGGGAGGTGATTGGATCGGGTGGCAGTTTCCCCCATGCTATTCTTGTGATGATGAGTGAGTTCTCACGAAATCGAATGGTTGTATAAGCACCTGGCATTTCCCCTGCTTTGCGCTTCTCCCTGGTGCTACCATGTCAAGAAGGTCCTTGCAACACCTTCGCCTGCCACCATGATTGTAAGTTTCCTGAGGCTTCCCCAGCCATGTGGAACTGTCAGTCAATTAAACCTCTTCCTTTTATAAATTACCCAGTCTTGGGTATTTCTTTACAAAACTGTGAAAATGGACAAATACCGATAGCTTGGATTGTAATGAAAAGAAAAATCACAAGTCATTTTATCAAAATGTTCAACAAACAGGGGGGAAGTGACCAGAATGTCAATGGGTGACAAATGTCGAGTGTTACCAACTATTATGCATCTAGTGAGGAAATATTTCACATTTAAGAGAAAAAGTAATGTATCCGGAGGCAGCAATGGTGAGCTAAGAGATTTTGTGCTTTCTGCACTCTCAGGTAACAGAATCAGGTATAGGAATATGAACAGTCACCACTTGACTTGTCTTCAGGGGAACCTATGTTCCAACTTGGTTTTAGTTGATGTAGGGAGTTTGAAGAAACATTAGGTAAAACATATGTGGATAAATATATTTACCACAAAACTAGGATTCTAGAAAAAATAAGGTTGGATTAAAAGGAGCATCAATTTGAAAAAAAAAAAAGGCAAAATGAAGAAATCACAAGGTTGTATGTGAATACTGGGATTGAGCAAGTAGCTCACTAGAGCCATCTTACATTTGTCCAGTGACCAAGAATGAAGTGGGTACGGGCCACAGTTAAACCGATAGTTTTTGAGGCTACCATCTTAGAAGTACAGGTGAGACTATTAGACAGCGTACAGAGAGTATGTTCCTGAATTTTTCTGCTGTTTTGGTTCGTTCTTTGAGGTAATTTTTTAGTAGTGAATTCTCCCTAGGCAATGGCAGGAAAATATTTGGCTCTTGAGGTTAACTTCCAGGGTGTGATCCCAGTTGCTATTGAGGGCATTTAACTTGCTTGGATAAAAATAGTCTTTAATTACAGTTCCTAATGGGTATTGGTTTGATTCTGAATTCTTACCTCATTATTTCGTGTAACCTCTAAACAATCTAGCAACTTAGGTAGTACAACCTGTTTTAATAATGAGGCTAAAATAACAGTTTCAGTGGCAGAGGCCTGCAAACATTCCTAACCTCTTCTCAACTGGGAAGAGCCACTGGGGAAGTATTCACTTGTGCCTGGAGTTATGCTCAAAGTCAAACTTAGGGAGAGTTTGGAGAAAAGTAAGCCTGTTGTCATGTCAGCAGTAGTACAACATTCTCTTCAGGGAATGATCAAGACTTTGACGGTTTAGGAATACACTTTTCTCAAAACACCCTAACAGAAGTTTTTTAAATGATAGAGAATATTATCTTTTTATAGTCATATTATAACATATGAATATGGATAAGTATGCAGGCTAATAAGAAGGTATATGGGCATTGTGTCATTGATATTAAATTAATAATAATTTTTTAAAGTAACAACAGTAAAAGCCAAAAGAATAATACGGCAACAGTGAAAAAGGTGATTTTCTGAAGAGTAAGAACACTACCAGTTGGCTAAATCTCTTTAGCCTTTTATTTAATAGCTAAGTTTAAGTTAAACCATTCAAGAAGTCATTCAATTTTATTCATCATTATATCTTTATTTAAAAGCAAAAGATCTAAAACCTGACATCACAGAGAAAAATCCAACATTTTGGCAGACGTATCTGGCATCATCTGCAATTTAGGGTTCCTTTTTATCTATCCATTTCTCAGCTGTAATAAGTCTTCTTCCACTGTGCTCTGGGAGCAATAGTTTGCTACATGCTCCTCCAGGGGCTAAAGACTTCTGTTTTATAAGGGCTAGGGTCTAGCTGGCTTCCTGGTTTTTCTTTGGAAAGGAGCTTTTCCTTCCTCCAGGCATGCACCAGTGAGAGAAGCTTTCTGTAATCTCCATGCCTGCCATCTTTGTTATTAGTATGCATTGGAAGGAAGCCTGTAGAGAAGAGATAGTGAGTGGGTGTGGATTCCACTTACCTCTGTTGCTCTGAGGGATTCTATTTTCTTACCCAAGCTTAAACTAAGCCTTTAGAAATTTGTTCACATTCCAGCTGGATTCCTCTTACTTGTTCATGTGTCCCTGACATCCATCTTTTCCTTACATGCTCTAACACAGGTGAAGCATGCTTATGTCATGTCTTGACTTGGATTTCAGGCTACTTAGCTCTCTGATGGGTTCAAGAGAAGTTATGATTTTGCAGTTTATCTGGCTTTTTCTTGTCCTCAGAGCAGTAGTAACACTCTTTACATATTTCTGCACCCTAGGCAGAAGCACCTGGATCCATAACTTCTCTTAATATTTAACATTTACCACCTTGTCCTTTCCCTGCTATGTTTTGAACGAAGTCCTCAATACTATATTTGTCTTTATCCAGTCTGCATTTTTTACTTTTTTAGTGATTTTTTTTAGTAATTACAGCTTTCTTCCAGGATTACTTATTTTCTGTATTTTTTCTGTTCTTAATTTATATTTGGTTGTTTTTGGTTTCTCAGTTTTTATTTTTTAAGTGTGCTATTTATTCCTCTATCTTTTTGACAACACTAAATATACTTAGGTTAAAGTAATTTTTAGATTGTTCTATTATTTTCAATTCACTGGGAGTGAATTTATCTCTAGGATTATATTATTTATTATTTGATTTTCCTCAATAATAGCTTATCACTTATGCTTTCTTTCTAGCCTTTTCTAAATAGTTAATTTATCTCTCTCTCTCTCTCTCTGTACCCATGATCTCTCTGCCACACATGTGGCAACATTGCATATCTCACCTCCATGCCAGTGGGTGGCCTGACCCATTTCCAGGTTATACAGTGGTCTCTTACCCTGCCCACTGAGCAGACCTAGGCAGAGGTCAGCGTTTTTATCAGTCCTAGTCCCTGATGTCACAATGGAGCCTGATTCTGGTTTTTGCTGTGTGTTGGATGCTTTTCATCTCTTTTATTTGTAGCAGTTGACTTCCTTGTGGCTTTTTACTTTCTTTCAGACCTAGAAGCCAGCAAGGCCTGTAGCTTTAACCTTTCTTAACACTGTGTGTTTCTCTTCTATTTTGGGCCAATGAAAATGTTTGTCTTTGAACATAATGACTGTATGACGGTTCTTCAGAGAAACAGAAACAAAGCATGTATATCTTGAATAGCATAAATAAAATATTTATTGTAAGGGATTGTGTCATGCAATTGTGGACACTTAAAGTCCAAGATCTACAATTGGCAAGTCTACCCAAAAGAACCAATTGTAAAGTTCCAATTCAAATCTGAAGGCCTGAGAACCAGGATAACTAATGGTGTAAGCCCCACATCCAAGTTCAAATGCTGGAGAAGACTAAAGTCTCAGCTCAAAGACAGTGGGAAGAGAAACAGAATGCTCTGTTCTCCCACCTTTTTGTTCCATTTAGGTCTTTAATGAATTGGATGAGACCTACCCACATTGAGGGGAGCAATGTTCTTCACTTACTCTACAGAATCAAATGTTGATCTCACCGAGAAACACTCTCACAGGCACACCCGGTATGATGTATAGCCAAATATCTGGGGCACCCTGTGGCCCAGTCAAATTGACTTATAAAGTTCACCATCATAACTACACCGTTTCATATCATTTTTTAAAAGTTATTGATAAAAGTTTGGTGTGAGAAGAGCACTTAATCATTGAACTTACACTGCCATTTTGGGAATCCAGAACAAATAAATGTTATTGCTTTATTTAGTAATAAACTTGGATAAATGTACATAGTAAATAATGTATGGTTAATAATGTATAGAAATTTATTAAAAAGGTAATGAGTTTATATATTATACATTGCTATATATCCTAGCTCCAGAAATTACTATCTATGTGGTAGTTTGTGAATTCCCAAATAATGTCAATTTTTTTACACTCAGTGTCTGTTTCCTCAGCTGTGCAGTGGAGATAGTAAAGAATACCTATTTAAAAGGATTATTGTGAAGATCATGTAAGGAGCTTAGATTGGTGTCTGACACATTGAAAGCTCTTGATAGCTGTTGTCTATTATTGTTACTATTATTATTATCAGTGTTTGTGTATGTATGCAAAATTAAATGGAATATATGCCTATCTTTGCATTCAGTTACTTATTCCTAGGGCAAAGCATAGGAATTAGACCTACACAGTCAGAGCCTTGTACTTTTTAACCTGTATATTTATTTTTGTTATACCAGCTGCCTTGATGCAAAAATTGTGCACCAGGCTCTTTACCACTAGCCTTGTAAACCTAAATCCATAAAATAATGGTCAAGTACACTTACACACTTACACACACACAAAGATTCTCTTTATCATATTATGTCTTTTTTGTGTGTGAGACAAAGTTTTGCTCATGTCACCTACGCTGGAGTGCAGTGGTGAGATCTTGGCTCACTGCAACCTCTGCCTCCCGGGTTGAAGCAATTCTCTTGCCTCAGCCTCCCGAGTATCTGGGATTACAGGCACCTGCCACCATGCCCAGCTAATTTTTGTATTTTTAGTAGAGATGGGGTTTCACCATGTTGAAGGCTGGTCTCGAACTCCTGACCTCAGGTGATCCGCCATCTCACCCTCCAAAAGTGTTGGGATTACAGGCGTGAGCCACTGTGTCTGGCCCCATATTATGTCCTTTAAATATGACATAACATGACATTACATTTAGCTTTTAGTTTTAATAACTTACATATATATAAAGACACATATATAAGCATATATATATATATTTGCTGCTTTAAATATTGCTTGTTCATTTCAAACTTTCAGTACTTCTCTACACTACACACAAACACAGATAAACACACATACTCACATACAAAATTTAAAGATGACTTTGAGTTTTATGCCATTGATCAAATAGATACTATCAAGTAGAAGCTCCTTCAACTTCCCTGCAAATTCTGCGAGTTTACTTGTATCTGCATTTATTGCCATCCTCTTAACTTTAGTTTTCAGGCTCTTCTACATTCTCAAGAACCTTATCAACCTTCCCTTCTCTCTGTTATCAATCTGACCCTCTCTACTTGGTTCTTTCGATCAACAATTCAAAGTTAATCTCTCCGATAGTAAAAGCAAAAATCAAAAAGAAAAATACCTGACCCAATTTCTCTTTGCAGCTACAAATCGATCTCTATCCTTCTCTTTACAGTCAAACTTCTGGAATGAAGTTCATGATGACTGTTTTCGTTTCTTCTCCTCTAACTGACTGCTAACACACTTTAGTTTGGCTTCGGTCCTGAATTTTCCACAACAACTGTTTCACTGAGGCCACCAGTGTCCACACTGGACACTTTACAATTCTCATTTTTATCCTCTCACCAGCATTTGCTGCTTTTCACCTCCTTTTTTCTCCTTTTTAAGATCATTTTGGTACGTACACCCTAAAATGCTGTTATTCCACCCATCTGTGTCAGAGGCCCTTTTCTCTTCCTTGTTTTTACACTCTGATTAACGATCTCTCCTATCCATCATGCACGTGCTGACAGTTCCCAAATATCCACAATATCCACAATGTCCACAGTACTCCCCTTGACTCCAGATCTATCATCAATGCCTAGCTGCTGTTTTCCACTTGGATTTCCCACAAGTACCTAAAATTCAACATATCCCAAGAAAGTAAATTATTTTTTATTCCCCAAACTGCTATTTCTTCAGAATTGGTTATCTTAGTAAATGGCACAATAAGCTACTCAACTCCTCAGGCAGGAAATCTGGAGATGGTCTCCAGTGTTTTGTCTCTCTCACTTTCCTCTCCATGTCCTATCAGTTCTATCTCCTGAATAACTTTCATAATTTTCCATTTACATCCATTTCCACTGCTACTATTCTATCTATACCACCACCACTCTAGTGTCAATAATGTGAACACCATTGAAGGTCTGCAATAACCTCTTTCTAAAAAAATTATATAAATTTAAGGGGTACAAGTGCAGTTTTGTTACATAGATATATTAAGTAGTGGTAAAGTCTAGGCTTTTAGTGTAACCATTACCTGAATAACGTACATTTTACCTATTAAGTAATTTCTTGTCTCTCACCCCCACCCATCCTCCCAACCTTCAAGTCTCCAATGTCTATCATTCCAAACTCTATATCCATGTGTACACATTATTTAGCTCCTACTAATAATTTACCTCCCATTATTTAGTTCTCACTGAGAACATGTGATATCTGACTTTTTGTTTCTGAGTTATTTGACTTTAGAGTAATGGCCTCCAGTTTTATCTATATTGCTGCAAAAGAAATGATTTTATTATTTTTATGGCTGTATAGTGTTCAATTGTGTGTGTGTGTACTTTCTATTTTCTGTATATATATTATATGTGTATCTATATATATATACACACACACACACACACACATACACATTCCATTATGTATATATACACGCATTCCATTCTGACTGGTTTAAGATGATACATCATTGTGTTTTTAATTTGTATTTCTCTGATGATTAGTAAGGTTTGAGCATTTTTTGTATGCTTTTTGACCATTTGTATGTCGTGTTTGAAAAATGTCTATTCATATCTTTTGCCCCCTTTTTAATGGGGTTATTTTTCCCCTGCCTCTGGCTCCACATCCAATGGGGTTATTTTGTTATTATTGTGGGTGTTGACTTGTTTGATTTCCTTGTAAATTGTGGATATTAGCCTCCTTTCAGATATCTAGTTTGCAAACATTTTCTCCCATTGTATAGGTCATCTGTTTACTCTGTTGATTATTTCTTTTGCTGTGCAGAAGTGTTTTAGTTTAACTAAGTCCCATTTGTCTATTTTTGTCTTTGTTGCTTGTGCTTCTGAAGTCTTACTTATTAATTTTTTGCGTAGATCAATATCCAGAAGAGTTCTATAGGTTTTCTTCTAGTATTTTTATAGTTTTGGATCTTACATTTAAGTCTTTAATCCATCTTGAGTTAAATTTTGTATATGGTGAACGGTATAGGTCCAATTTTATTCTTCTGCATGTGGCAATCCCATTACTCCAGCACTATTTCTTAAAAGGAGTGTCCTTCCCCCACTGTATATTTTTGGCAATTTTGCCAAAGGTCAGTTGGCTGCAGATACGTGTGCAATGACCTTTTAATAAATTTTCTTTCTTACATATTTCTTTTTATTCATTTATTCATTGATTATAAATATTTATGAAGTATTTACATGTGCAAGATAAACCACGTGCCGGGTACCCTAGCAAATTAAGACAAACAAACCAATCTGTGAACCACTTCTCAAACAGGGCAGATGAAAATGCATAAATAAAAATTACTGAGAAGCAAATGGTGATGCTTGCAACAAAGTTATTACAGATGAAGTGCCAGAGAAGTTCAAAAGAAAAAGTACTACTTCCATCTTGAAGGTAAAGGAAGGAGGTTTCATGGCAGAGGAGACATTTGAACTGAAATCTACGTTTTTTGGCTCAAGAGTATTGGGGTTAAAAAGATAAAGAGAAAAAAGTATTTGGAAAAGGAATGCTCAAAAAGAAGAAACCAGAGTGAAGTAAAAGCAAGTAGGGGGAATGTTTATGCACATCACTAAATGTAGCATCCAGGGGCTGGGTGCTCAAAGGAGTTCATTGGAAGATGAGGCTGAGAAGTAAACACTTAACATAATTTATGGGGGTACATTATTCCCACATTCCTTACCCCTCTGTATATTGCATTTGATTGGTAACATATAGAAAAAGAGGGCTGGGCATGGTGGCTCACGCCTGTAATCCCAGCACTTTGGGAGGCCGAGGTAGGTGGATCACCCGAGGTCAGGAGGTCAAGACCATCCAGCCAGATCAACATGGTGAAACCCTGTCTCTACTAAAATTACAAAAATTAGCCGGGCGTGGTGGCACATGCTTGTAATCACTGCTACTTGGGAGGCTGAGGCAGGAGAATCGCTTGAACCTGGGAGGTGGAGGTTGCAGTGAGCCGAGATCGTGCCATTGCACTCCAGCCTGGGCAATAAAAGTGAAACTCCAGCTAAAAATAAATAAATAAATAGAGAGGGCCATATCTGAGATTCTTTTTTGAAAGAGGAATGAGATCTAGTTGGACTCTTCAGGAATGAGATTTGACTCAGAAAAATAAAATGGCTCTTAAGTGCACATTTTCATCATGCCTACCCACTTTAGAGCCACATTTCACCTGGCTCCTACACCCACAGGCAATCTTTACGAAAGGGAAAATTTCTATTAGGAAATCCTTCTAGGCTGCACATTACCTCTCTATATGTGTAGGGGCAAATATCTATCACCTTCTAGCGATCAAAATGGTTTAGTTAGCTCAAAGCAGCTATTACATAAACCAAAATCTTAGATATAATAATATGAGCTTAAGGTAAAGTCTAAAAGGCTCCTTTTCATAATAACATCACACATATTGAGTACTTCTACTATATTTTCCATTGTGAGAGTACTAGAATAAATGTGAACCTGCTACTTCAGGCTTGCAACCTGATTTATGAATTTAAAAATTATAATTACTACTTTAAGCATTAACTATAGTACATTTATTTCTCTGAAAGACAGAAAATGAGAAAGAAATGTGAGAGGGCAATTATCTCCAGCTTGAATCCTAAGATACTTAAATCATCTCGTTTCCTTTGCATTAAATATTTATATTGATTTCTTAATACTGTAAGGGAGACTTAACTCTATTTATATATAAATGACTGGAAGAACATGTTTATACTTTGAACTGAACTAGATTATTAAGAAATAGGCACTTGATATTGTATAAAGAAGTATTTTGTTACTTTAATGTAGTCCATAAATTATAATTGAGCATATGAAAACAAAACACATTTACTCATTACAAACAGGGAAATTTACTCTGAACCAAATTTTTGCCATTTTAAGTTTAAGCCAATCATCATTTTAAGAGGGATTCTCCTAAAACATTTTCTTGCTCTTTTAAAAAATCATTTAAATATATGTTTTTAGAGTTAGCTTTGAACTCCATTTATTTTTCTGGATCTCATTTTTCTTTCCTTTTCTGGACAGAAACTTACATTTATCACCTTTTTTTTCTTAATGAACTTAATACATCTTTCTTCGTTAAACATGCTCAGTTCTCCTCCAAATTAAAAATAAATCATTTTTTTGGTAGCTGGCAAGATGGCCGAATAGGAACAGCTTCAGTTTGTAGCTCCCAGTGAGATTAATGCAGAAGGTGGGTGATTTCTGCCTTTCCAACTGAGGTACCCAGCTCATCTCATTGGGACTGGTTAGACAGTGGATGCAGCCCATGGAGGGTGAGCCAAAGCAGGGTGGGGTGTCACCTCAACCTGGAAGTGCAAGGGGTTGGGAAACTCCCTCCCCTAGCCAAGGGAAGCCCTGAGGGACTGTGCCGTGAGGAACAGTGCATTCCAGCCCAGATACTATGCTTTCCCCACAGTCTTTGCAACCTGCAGACCAGGAGATTCCCTCGGGGGCCTACACCACCAGGGCCCTGGGTTTCAAGCACAACACTGGGTGGCTGTTTGGGCAGACACCGAGTTAGGTGGAGGAGTTTTTTTTATACCCCAGTGGCGCCTGGAATGCCAGCGAGAGAGAACCATTCACTCCCCTAGAAAGGGGGCTGAAGTCAGGGAGCCAAGTGGTCTAGCTCAGCGGTTCCCACCTGCCACGGAGCCCAGCAAGCTAAGATACACTGGATTGAAATTCTCGCTGCCAGCACAGCAGTCTGAAGTTGACGTGGGACTCTCGAGCTTGATGCAGGGAGGGGCGTCCACCATTACTGAGGCTTGAGTAGGTGATTTTCCCCTCCCAGTGTAAACAAAGCTGGTTGGAAGTTGAAACTGGGCAGAGCCCACCACAGCTCCACAAAGCTTCTGTAGCCAGATTGCCTCTCTAGATTCCTCCTCTCTGGGCAGGGCATCTCTGAAAGAAAGGGAGAAGCCCCATTCAGGGGCTTATAGATAAAACTCCCATTTCCCTGGAACAGAGCACCTGGGGGAAGGGGCGGCTGTGGGCACAGCTTCAGGAAACTTATATATTCCTACCTGCCGGCTCTGAAGAGAGCAGTGGATCTCCCAGCACAGCACTTGAGCTCTGCTATGGGACAGATGATGCCTCCTCAAGTGGGTCCCTGACCCCCGTGCCTCCTGACAGGGAGACACCTCCTAGCAGGGGTCGGCAGACACCTCATACAGGAGAGCTCCAGCGGGCATCAGGTGGATGCCCCTCTGGGACAAAGCTTCCCGAGGAAGGAGCAGGCAGCAATCTTCGCTGTTCTGCAGTCTCCACTGGTGATACCCAGGCAAACAGGATCTGGAGTGGACCTCCAGCAAACTCCAGCAGACCTGCAGCAGAGGGGCCTGACTATTAGAAGGAAAACTAACAATCAGAAAGGAATAGCATCAACATCAACAAAAAGGACATCCACACAAAAACCCCATCCGAAGATCACCAACATCAAAGACCAAAGGTAGATAAATCCAGGAAGATGAGGAAAAACAGTGCAAAAAGGCTGAAAATTCCAAACACCACAAAACCTCTTCTCCTTTAAAGGATCACAACTCCTTGCCAGCAAAGGAACAAAACTGGAAGGAGAATGAGTTTGACGAATTGACAGAAGTAGGCTTCAGAAGGTGGGTAATAACAAACTTCTCTGAGCTAAAGGAGCATGTTCTAACCCAATACAAGGAAGCTAAGAACATTGAAAGAAGGTTAGACAAATTGCTAACTGATTAACCAGTTTAGAGAAGAACATAAATGACCTGATGGAGCTGAAAAAGACACCATGAGAACTTCGTGAAGCATACACAAGTATCAATAGCCGAATCAATCAAGCGGAAGAAAGGATATCAGAGATTGAAGATCAGCTTAATCAAATAAAGCGTGAAGACAAGATTAGAGAAAAAAGAATGAAAAGAAATGAACAAAGCCTCCAAGAAATATGGGGCTATGTGAAAAGACCAAACCTATGTTTGATTGGTGTACCTGAAAGTGACAGGGAGAATGGAACCAAATTGGAAAACACTCTTCAGGATGTTATCCAGGAGAACGTCCCCAACCTAACAAGACAGGCCAACATTCAAATTTAGGAAATACAGAGAACACTACAAAGATACTCCTCAAGAAGAACAACCCCAAGACACATAATTGTCAGATTCACCAAGGTTGAAATGAAGGAAAACGTGTTAAGGGCAGCGAAAGAGAAAGATCGGTTACCCACAAATGGAAGCCCATCAGACTAACGGCGGATCACTCTGTAGAAACCCTACAAGCCAGAAGAGAGTGAGGGTCAATATTCAATATTCTTAAAGAATTTTCAACCCAGAATTTCATATCCAGCCGAACTAAGCTTCATAAGCAAAAGAGAAATAAAATTCTTTACAGACAAACAAATGCTGAGAGATTTTGTCACCACCAGGCCTGCCTTACAAGAGCTCCTGAAGGGAGCACTAAATATGGAAAGGAAAAACTGGTACCAGCCACTGCAAAAACATACCAAATTGTAAAGACCATCAACACTATGAGGAAACTGCATCAACTAATGGGCAAAATAACCAGCTAGCATCATAATGACAGGATCAAATTCACACACAACAATTTTAACCTTAAATGTAAATGGGCTAAATGCCCCAATTAAAAGACACAGACTGAGAAGTTGGATAGAGTCAAGACTCATCAGTGTGTTATATTCAGGAGACCCACCTCACATGCAAAGACACACTAGGCTCAAAATAAAGGGATGGAAATTTACCGAGCTAATGGAAAGCAAAAAAGAGCAGGAATTTAAATCCTAGTCTCCAATAAAACAGACTTTAAACCAACAAAGGTCAAAAAAGACAAAGAAAGGCATTACATAATGGTAAAGAGATCAATGCAAGAAGAAGAGCTAACTATCATAAGTATATATGCACCCAGTACAGGAGCACAGAGATTTATAAAGCAAATTCTTAGAGACCTACAAAGAGACTTAGACTCCCACACAATAGTAGTGGGAGACTTTAACACCCCACTGTCAATATTAGACAGCTCAACAAGATAGAAAATTAACAAGGATATTCAGGACTTGAACTCAGCTCTGGACCAAGCAGACCTAATAGACATCTACAGAACTCTCCACCCCAAATCAACACAATATACATTCTTCTCAGTACCACATTGCTCTTATTCGAAAATTGGCCATATAATTGGAAGCAAGACACTCCTCAGCAAATGCAAAATAACAGAAATCATAACAAACAGTCTCTGAGACCACAGTGCAATCAAATTAGAACTCAGGATTAAGAAACTCACTCAAAACTGCACAACTACATGGAAACTGAACAACCTGCTCCTGAATGACTACTGGGTAAATAATGAAATTAAGGCAGAAATAGATAAGCTTTTTGAAACCAATGAGAACAAAGACACAATGTACCAGAATTTCTGGGACACAGCTAAAGCAGTGTTTAGAGGGAAATTTGTAGTGCTAAATGCCCACAGGAGGAAGCAAGAAAGATCTAAAATTGCCACAATTAAAAGAACTAGAGAAGCAAGAGCAAACAAATTCAAAAGCTAGCAGAAGATAAGAAATAACTAAGATCAGAGCAGAACTGAAGGATATAGAGACACAAAAACCCTTCAAAAAATCAATGAATCCAGGAGCTGGCTTTTTGAAAAGATTAACAAAATAGATAGACTGCTAGCCAGGTTAATAAAGAGGAAAAAAGAGAAGAATCAAATAGACACAATAAAAAATGACAAAGGGGATATCACCACTGATCCCACAAAAATACAAACTACCATCAGAAAATACTATAAACACCTCTATGCAAATAAACTAGAAAATCTAGAAGAAATGGATAAATTCCTGGACATATACGCCCTCCCAGGACTAAACCAGGAAAAAAAAGAGTCCCTGATTAGAACAGTAATAAGTTCTAAAATTGAGGCAGTAATTAGCAGCCTACCAACCAAAAAAAGCACAAGATCAGATAGATTCATAGCCAAATTCTACCAGAGGTACAAAGAGGAGCTGGTACCATTCCTTCTGAAACTATTCCAAACAACAGAAAAAGAGGGACTCCTCCCTAACTCATTTTATGAGGCCAGCATTATCCTGATTCAAAAACCTGGCAGAGACACAACAACGACAACAAAATTTCAGGCCAATATCCCTGATGAACATCGATGCAAAAATCCTCAATAAAATATTGGCAAACTGAATCCAGCAGCACATCAAAAAGCTTATCCACCACAATCAAGTAGGCTTCATCCCTGGGATGCAAGGCTGGTTCAACATATGCAAATCAATAAATGTAATCCATCACATAAACAGAACCGATGACAAAAACCACATGATTAACTCAATAGATGCAGAAAAGTCCTTTGATAAAATTCAACACCACTTCATGCTAAAAACTCTCAATAAACTAGGTATTGATGGAATGTATCTCAAAATAATAAGAACTATTTATGACAAACCCACGGCCAATATCATACTGAATGGGCAAAAGCTGGAAGCTTTCCCTTTGAAAACTGGCACAAGACAAGGATGCCCTCTCTCACCACTCCTATTCAACATAGTATTGGAAATTCTGGCCAGGACAATCAGGTAAGAGAAAGAAAGAAAGGGCATTCTAATAGGAAGAAAGAAAGTTATATTGTCTCTGTTTGCAGATGACATGATTGTACATTTAGAAAACCCCATCATCTCAGCCTAAAATCTCCTTAAGCTGATAAGCAACTTCAGCCAAGTATCAGGATACAAAATCAATGTGCAAAAATCACAAGCATTCCCATACACCAATAACAGATAAACAGAGAGCCAAATCATGAGTGAACTCCCACTCACAATTACTACAAAGATAATAAAATACCTACGAATACAACTTACAAGGGGTATGAAGGACCTCTTCAAGGAGAACTACAAACCACTGCTAAAGGAAATAAGAAAGGGCACAAACAAATGGAAAAATATTCCATGCTCATGCATAGGAAGAATCAATATCGTGAAAATGGCCATACTGCCCAAGGTAATTTATAGACGCAATGCTATCCCCATCAAACTACCACTGACTTTCTTCACAGAATTAGAAACAACTACTTTAAATGTCATATGGAACCAAAAAAGAGCCTGTATAGCCAAGAGGATCTGAAGCAAAAAGAACAAAGCTGGAGGCATCATGCTACCTGACTTCAAACTATACTACAAGGCTACAGTAACAAAAACAGCATGGCACTGGTACCAAAACAGATATATAGACCAATGGAACAGAACAGAAACCTCAGAAATAACACCACACATCTATAACCATCTGATCTTTGACAAACCTGACAAAAACAAGCAATGGGGAAAGGATTCCCTATTAGTAAATGGTGTTGGGAAAATTGGCTAGCCATATGCAGAAAACTGAAACTGGATCCCTTCCTTAGCCTTATACAAAAACTAACTCAAGATGGATTAAAGACTTAAATGTAAGACCTAAAACCATAAAAACCCTAGAAGAAAACCTAGGTAACACCATTCAGGACATATGCACAGGCAAAGACTTCATGACTAAAACACCAAAAGCAATGGCAACAAAAGCCAAAATTGACAAATGGGATCTAATTAAACTAAAGAGCTTTTGCACAGCAAAAGAAACTATCATCAGAGTGAACAGGCCACCTACAGAATCGGAGAAAAATTTTGTAATCCATCCATCTGATAAAGGGCTAATATCCAGAATCTACAAGGAACTTAAACAAATTTACAAGAAAAAAACAGCCCCATCAAAAAGTGGGCAAAGGATATGAACAGACACTTCTCAAAAGAAGTCATTTATGCAGCCAACAAACATATGAAAAAAACCTCATCATCACTGGTCATTAGAGAAATGCAAATCAAAACAACAAGATACTATCTCACGCCAGTTAGAATGGCAATCATTAAAAAGTCAGGAAACAACAGATGCTGGAGAGGATGTGGAGAAATAGGAATGCTTTTACACTGTTGGGAGTGTAAATTACTTCAACTATTGTGGAAGACAGTGTGGTGATTCCTCAAGGTCTAGAACCAGAAATACCATTTGACCCAGCAATCCCATTACTGGGTATATACCCAAAGGATTATAAAGCATTCTACTATAAAGACACATACACACGTATGTTTATTGTAGCACTGTTCATAATACCAAGACTTGGAACCAACCCAAATGCCCATCAGTGACAGACTGGATAAAGAAAATGTGGCACATATACACCATGGAATACTATGCAGCCATAAAAAGGATGAGTTCATGTCCATTGCAGGGACATGGATGAAGCTGGAAACCATAATTTTCAGCAAACTAACACAGGAACAGAAAACCAAACACCACATGTTCTCACTCATAAGTGGGAGTTGAACAATGAGAACACATGGACACAGGGAGGGTAATGTCACACACTGGGGCCTGTCAGGGGGTGCAGGGGCTAGGGGAGGAATAGCATTAGGAGAAATACCTAATGTAGATGACGGGTTGATGGGTACAGCAAACCACCATGGCATGTGTATACCTATGTAACAAACCTGCCAGTTCTACACATGTATCCCAAAACTTAAAGTATAATAATAAAAATATAATAAAATAAAAGCACCAAAACCCATTTTTTTCTTGATGACTCTACGTTTTATGGTGAAAAGCCTAATCTTTTTATCTTTCTGGATGATCTAAATTTCTATGTTTTATCAGTTTGCTCATTTACATCACTTCCTTCATTTGTTCGTTTTATTCCTTCAAAATAAATATGCACTGAATTTCAGTCAGTCCTTGCTCCTTTCCTTCACTGAGTTTCCATTGCCCTCTTTAATTCACTTGTGTTGTTTGTGTTTTGTATATGTGTTTGTTTGTTTGTATATGTGTTTTGTTTAACCTTCTAATTAAAAGCTCTTTGAGGATAGTGTCTCTGCTTTGTGTATTTTTACGTCTTCTGAATATCTAATCAATTGCTTGGACAAGTCTCTTCAGTGAAGCACAGAATATATACAAGTCATTAATTTCTAGAACTTCTATTTTAACAGGCAGGGATAGAAAAGGAATTAAAGTAACATAAACAAATTGAACAGAGACGCAGAGGTGGGAAGCCATGATTTGTAGGTTTGCAGCCTCAAGAATCCACTTTTGCAAGACTGAAGGAACTGGAAAGAGGCTAAAAAAGGGAGAAAAACTGGGAGTAGCATGTGGTGAACTATTATTATGGCTGAAGTTAAAGTTTGCCCAGCAAATTGTTTCACCTTTCTTCTTTTGGTAAGCACCCTAGGCTTTTCCTACATTGGCCTTTACTGTATGTGTAAATCTTGTTGTGCTACCTTACCTCATACAGGGGTATATGATGTGTCCTGCACTTGGTCAATAAAATTAACCCCATCTTCAGTCACAGAAAGGAAAGTGTGACCCAAGCAAAATCATTTTAAGTCCTCCATAGGATTTCTTTTCTGTAGTTAACAAGGTAATTTTCCCTGGGGATGTTGCCCTGAAGAGTATGTCTGGAATTGCTGACAGGCGTCCTGCCCCAAAGGTGAAGAGAGGCTTCCTGAAAATAAAGGCAAGCCAAGGAATGAAGAAAATGAAAGGAGAAAAACTTAAGGACCTCAGTTAAGGCTCTGAATACAATCAGGGTGAGAGCTAAATGCACCTTCAACTTCTCAGTTAGGTAACTGAGTTTGGGAGTTTGCTTTTTTCACTTAATTGGGCCTGAGCTGAGTTTCTATCACTTTCATTATAAAGAGGATGGGTGATGTTGAAAGATGTCTGTATTTTTAACAATGAAATGGAAGATCATCGAACATTTAAAAAAAAGTAGTAATGCACTATTCAACTTCTTTTTGTTGTTGTTGTTGCTACATAGTTCAGACACCCTTTCATCTCTTTTGTGTACTATTGCAATAATTTCATAACTAGCTTCCCTGCCTTTAGTTTTGCCTCTCCTTCCTTATTTCACTCCCCATGTTGCTACAGACAGACTTTTCTAAAAAGCAAATACGATCACACAATTTCCTTGCTTAAAGCTCCCCACTGACTCTGCTTGAAGGGTCAGGTCCAAACTTAATTGTCTGACACACAAGTCCCCTCATTATCTCACCCTGGTTACATACAAGCTCATTTATTTCCCCTCACCTACTTACCTCTCCATGCTCTAGCTAAATTGAGCTGCTTACCTTTAAGAACACATTTTGTTCTCTAGTGAGCTCATGTCTTTAAATATGTTAGTCTTCTGCTTAGAATATCCTTCCCTAGGAAGTCCTTTTGTATTATGAATGAGGGTATCATAAGGTCTAGGTAGGATGCTACCTCAGAGATACTGTAACTTCAAGTTGGAAGAGACCATGTCTCATAGTTCTTTTCATTCTTCAATAATGCAGTAAAAGGTACAGTTGGCACTCAAAGGATTGATGAGTGAAAACTCATTTACTGAATTACATTTTCTCAGGAAGGTACTTAATTCTGTATGTAAATACAGAAATACAAACTTCCAGGACTTAAATGTGATTGACATGAGAGAATGTAGTGTAAATAAACTTTACCAGCATACATACACACAAAACACAATCTTAGCTTTCTTAAGAGCTATATACATAGGTACATCGTAAATGTGATTTTAGGCTTAATAACTGCTTCTATAAATTTCAAGTTCTTAAATAATTACCAAAAATGTACTTTAGAACCTAAAACACACACACACACACACACACACACACACAAACACACACAACCCTAGATACACAGTTGAAAGTACTAAAACTCTGGGAAATGAGCAAATGTGCAACCTGTCATGTAATAAAGTACCATTGGCTCTTAAATGAGCAAAGTATCTTTGAAAATATGGCACAATTGCTTTATGAAAACATTTGGGGCTAATATATGCTCATTCTAAAAATTATCTCAAAAAAGTGGGGTCCATGTCCTGTAAGTATAGCTTTAATGTATTTTATGTAAGACATTCATTTAAAAAATTGTTTTTCAAGGATATCTGAGAAAATTCTTGTGCCTGTATGCTCAATTTTTAGCTAAAGTTAGAGATAGTCTATAATCGTGCCCTGGAAATTTATTATTGAGTCAATTTGGCTTCACACATTAACTGAACTACTTTTAGAGTACCAAAATGAGTCAGGCATACTGTTAGGTATACAGCATACAGCAGTAAACAAAACAAATTAAATTAAGTCCCTGATCTCATGGCACTTATCTTCTGGTGGGTAAAAAAAAGCTGGCAAGCAAACAAATAAATATAATCAGATTATAATAAGTATGTTCAAGCAAATTCAAGAATTTAAGAAGGCAGAGAGTGAACAGGGAGGAGAATGCTATTTTAGATAACAGAGTCAGCGGAGATTTTTAAAAATTATTTATTTAGAGATGGGGTCTTGCTATGTTCCCAAGGCTAGCCCTGAACTCATAGGCTCAGACCATCCTCCCACCTCAGTTTCCTAAGTAGCTGACTACAGGAGTATGCCACCGTGCCTGGCAATATTTCTTTGAAGGTAACACTTGAGCAGAGACCTATACGAATGAGGGAGGGAGCCTATAGCTATCAGGAGGAAGAGAGGTCTGGGGAGAAGGAATGGATATGTACAAGTTCCTGAGTGAGAGATTATTTTATATCTTATAAACAAGATATCAAACGATCCAGAAATAATGACGACACAAGATAGGCTGTGCTATTGCATTATGGGACGTGCAAATTAGTCAGAGAAGAAGGGAAAATGAAAATAATTTCTGGCTCAGGGGATCTTTAAGATAACATTTTTGGTAGTTTTCCAATAGGTAGAGATGGTGATTTGGATAGTCCAAAATAAAGATGTGTGGGATTGAGAGCCTGTTGAGCTTTGGTTCCTAGGATAAGAAGTTTGTATTTCACATGACAGAAAATACAGATTTATTAAAGGGTTTCAGAAACGGGGTTTGACTTTTTCAGGGCTAGATAAAAACAGGATGGATTTAGCCAAGCTGCACAGACCATATGTGCTAGAGGGATGGTGTGTGAATAGACTAGAGCTGGAGACCATGTGGATTCTGGTTAACTGGATATTATGTTAGTGACCCTAGAAGTCAGATTCCGTCTTGTTAGTATTAATAATATCTATATATTTTGTCCAGGTTATAATAAGACATTACCAGGAAGCTGTGCAGGGGGTCCACTTGGCAATGCTACAACTCAAAGACTATTTGGCTCTGTTTTTTCTTTTAGAACAGAAATATGAGCCGTCATTGCCCTATAAACTCTTTCTCAGTATATTATTTATATTTAACCAATTTTAAGTAAAGTACATCTAATTTATAAGGAAACTTGCAAAATAATTTCATCTAAGCATCACATTTTATTAATATTTGTTCTTCCTAAATGCCTTGGGAAAGAAAAACTATGTGCTAATCTCCTGCTGTGGGTCTTTGGGATTTTCCAAAGAATGAGTAATATTCCTGCTTTTTCTTTAAGATAACATGCTATTTAAGTTTCCTTATAGAAATAATTACTAAAGAAAAACATCTAGACAGGCGCGGTGGCTCACGCCTGTAATCCCAGCACTTTGGGAGGCCGAAACGGGTGGATCACGAGGTCAGGAGATCAAGACCATCCTGGCTAACACGGTGAAACCCCATCTCTACTAAAAATACAAAAAAATTAGCCGGGCATGGTGGCGGGCGCCTGTAGTCCCAGCTACTTGGGAGGCTGAGGCAGGAGAATGGCATGAACCCGGGAGGTGGAGCTTGCAGTGAGCTGAGATCGGGCCACTGCACTTCAGCCTGGGTGACAGAGCGAGACTCCATCTCAAAAAAAAAAAAAAAAAAGAAAAGAAAGAAAAACATTTTTCCACTTAACGACCTCTGGACTGAAAGCACGCTGAGTCTACACCCTATTGAGGTGTCTGAGGTACAATTTGCTATTTACACTCAAGCCTAGCTTTCTTTTCCAATATTTTCATTTTCATTCCTGGGAAAAACAAATTTTAACATAACAATGATTAGGTAATAGATTCATGCTTATAAAGTTGATTTCTCTACTTCTCTAGTGATTTTTCCTTATTCTCACTCATAGATTTGTTTTCATACTAAGATTCTTTCGAGAAAACATTTTCAGAAAATGCTAATACTCTGCCTATTTGCTACATTGAAGTCTCCTTCCAAATTTACAAAGGAGCAGACATGTGTAGGCAAGCTTTGTAGGGTTTTTATTTGTGTTTGACTTTCCAGAGTTCCAGTACTCATTTCAAACAATTCTTGACATGGTAAAAGGCAGTACACACAAGCACAGTTAATGTCACAACCTAGAAGGCCACATGATTTTCAATGTAAGTTGGATCAAATCTTCTATATTTTACTGATGTCTTTATCACTTATTCATGTGTTTAATGTCTTTTTTATGTCATCATTCACATTTAATATGTTTAGTCTAATATTAAAGTTAATTAATAGAAGACAAATATACCATAAGAAAAACAAAAGGCAAGGCCAGGCACTGTGGCTTACACCTATAATCCCAACACTTTGGGAGGTCGAAGTGGGAGAATCACCTGAGGTCGGGAATTCGAGACCAGCCTGACCAACATGGAGAAACTCCGTCTCTACTGAAAATACAAAATTAGTCAGACATGGTGGTGCATACCTGTCATCCCAGCTAATCGGGAGGCTGAGGCAGGAGAATCACCTGAACCTGGGAGGTGGAGGTTGCGGTGAGTTGAGATTGTGCCATTGCACTCCTCCAGCCTGGGCAACAAGAGTGAAACTCTGTCTCAAAAAAAAAAAAAAAAAAAAAAGATAAAGATAAAAGAAAAAAAAAGGCAGGAAGGACCTAGGAATCACTCTAAAATCACTAATGACTTTCTGGTTACAGATACCATATATTGCCAACAAATGTCTTTATCAGTTTTTAACACTAATCTAATATCCATACAAACACACGCATGTGTGTTGGTGTTTGAATCAGAAAACATATCATGAAGATACTAAAAATAGAAACATTGAAGAATTACATAATTTGTGTGCCAAGTGCTTTACATGCATTATTTTGGATAATCCTTACAACAATTCTACAAGGTAGGGAGCATAATTATCTCCATCTTGCAGTGGTGAAATTCGAAGTTTAAGGAGATTAAGTGACATGCACCGGGCAATAACAATTTGTCAATCCAGGATTCAAACTCAGGCAATCTGATTCGAGAGTCCCAGCCCTTAACTACATACCAACAAAAGAAAAAGTAAAAAACAAAACTTCTTGCTATGTAATTGCTTTTGAGATCAAATGGTAGGGGATGGGTTTATTTCCTTAAGAGGGTTTGATTGGTATAGTGGGAAAAAAATGAGCAAGGAGGTTTGGCTCATTCGTCTGTATTTACAGATTGTGATAAATGCTGTTTGTGTAACAATTCATTTTGTTAAAATGCTTAGGCTTTTTGTAAAACTAACTCACAGGAATGAGGTAATAATGGCCAACTGATAAAGTGTAGCCATGAAAATAATGAAAAGAACCCACAATAGAACCTATTTAAAATTAATCTCGTACTATAAATACCAAATATTGGAAGTGAAAAATGCTTAGTTATTACCATTAGGATTCTGATATTAACCTCAGCAAATATAGTTAGGAAGTGGTGCCCACAGCCTTGGGATACAAGAGAGTATATAAAACATTATGTTATGTAAATTATAATGGAGAACTTTATAGAATCATCCTTATTTCTTTTTTATTCTTCGCTTGTCAAAATCATATCCTATATCAAGTTAGGTTAACGATGTAATCTCATGAAAATTAACAGGACCCATTTAGGTACTTTCACAAATATTGAAATAGATACTTATTTCTCAACTTTCTTAGGAAATTCCAGACAAATTTCAAAGGGTTTAGGTTGTCAAATTAGACAAACTTGTGCAAGTTGGGCATGGTACACCTGTTACCAAGAATCAGATGCATGTTTTAGTAGAAAGAAACTTCACTTTCTTGGGAGCATTACCGAAATCTGCTGGATTTGTCAACATATAGCCTAAAATTTACTTTTAAAAAAAGAAAAACATGACAAGATAGACTGGATTCTAAAACGACATCAAGACAATGTGGTACTGAATTTCCTCTAAGCCAAAGGAACATGTCATATTTAAGACTGTTTTTTTAAAAATCAGAGCGGAAATGGTAGAACCTTGGTTTCTTACTTACTGTTATTAATTAATGAGTGAGTGATAGGGGCCATTGCAGTGTAAATGTTAAAGTTCCTTTCTTTTACTTGAATTGTGGAGATTAAAGCATACATGAGATTGAGAAATATGAAGCAAGCTCTTAAATGGTGAGAAAAAACATATCTCTAGTTCACGTGTCACTTCTAGCGATTTTTCTACTGCTAGGTTTTCCTTTTGGGGTTACGATTATTACAGGTGGCAATCAGTTAACTTAGTGGTTCTGTAGGCACCGCCCTATCTTCCAACTTACTTACATTTAAAAATTCACACAGAGAGGCTAGTGGGAAGCGGGTAGGTGTAAACAATGTGCTACAGTGAGTCACACCCGTCACAAAAGCCAACAATGATTAGCTGTGATTTTTTTAAAATCACCTATCCAGCGGCAGAAGCTGTGGGCACAGCCAGGAGGAAGAGGCCAAAGGCAGTGGCGTTGCGTTCACACTACTCGCACGGAACAGTCTACAGCCAACGAACGCTTCAATTCAGAGATTACTCTGCCTCTAGCTAGAGGAAGCAGAGGAAAGAGAGGGGAGTTTGGTGGCTAGAGATTTACCAAAAAGAGGGGGGCGGGGGAAAGAAGAGGCACAGTGGAAGGCTGTTGCCTCCAACTCCGCGCTCTCCGTCACCAAGACGAAAACGCCTGGAACCGGAGCACGATGACGCCGAGAAGACAGAAACTCAGAGCGTCCGACGCCTCGCGTCTGGGCGGTCGTGCCCGTTCACTCACACGCCGCTCTGAGTGGTTTGGCGAACCTCACACGTGACTCCCTGGGCCCTTCACCCCTCCTGCCGCCGCGGGCGCTGCGGAAGCTGCGGGCGGAGGACGCTCGGCTGCCGCGGGAGGAGTAAGGGAGGAGGGCGGAACTTGTAAAGGGAGGGGCCATCACCAGCACCAAGTCTGCCACCGCCGGACCCGCGCCCCCGAAGCCCACCCCCACCAAGATCGCGCCTCCGACCGGCGGGAGGGGCGCGCAGGGGAGGGGACGCTGTGCAATAAACCGGGCGGGGAGAGGGAGGCAGCGGAGGGAGTCCTGGCTCTGAGGGGGGCAGGATTGGGTCTGGAGGATGGTCTGGCTTGATTCAGACTCCTGCACCCGACAACGCCACGGAGTGAGGGGAGAGGGAGAGAGAGAAGGTGGCAGTGTGTGTGCGCGCGTGTACGTGTGTGTGTGCGTGTCTACAGGTAGCAGTGGCGGCGGCGGCGGCGGCGGCGGGGACCGGAGCAGGGGACGCATCTGCAGCCACCTCCCCGCCTATGATTTTCGGAGGCGATTGCTCACTTAGCTGAGGATCTGTAGCCCCGGGAGATCTTCTCATCCTCTCCATTTCCAAGCTTCATAGGTGTCTTCCAGTTTCAAGTGTGTGTTTTGGGTATTTTATTTTTAATTTTTTTCCTTCTCCCTCTAAATCTTCTCGGAAATTCTGCATATTGAAGCAGGTGGCTCCTGGTACGAAATCTCTGGATACATTTGGCTTGCCAAGTTTTGCTCTTCGCTGTCCCCTCCCGTTTACAGAAGCATCTGTGGTGCTTTTCATTTTGGATTTACATGCAGGAAACGTATATATGTTTATATACCGACCGCATAATATATAAATACATATACGCGTGCCCAAGGGCCTGGTTTTCGTCTCTCCTCCCCACGAAACGGAATGTTTTGGAGCCGATGGATAACAAGAACACTATTAACATTCTTTTGAGCCTGTTTTTTAAAAGGGGGAGGGAGCGTGAAGAATTGTTTAACATTTGGCCATCGTTTGGCTGCACACTAAGCACCACGAAGTATTTATGGTTGCAGATCAGGTGCAAACGGGGCTTAGAGAGAAAGGTAAGGGAGCTTCCTGCGTCCGCCGAGCTCCGGCGTTTACCTTAATCCCGGGGATTGCCGAGAACTTCCTATTCCCTGCCTCTCCTTCGCCTTCCCCACCTTCCACCCACCCTTCTCTGCTCTCTCTCTTCTGTAAACTCAACCCTTTTCCAATCCCATTGGGGTGGGGGTGGGGGGTGCTGGAGGTATAATCGTCTATTTGAGTTTAAATGCGTCTCTCTTTCCCAGGCTAGTAGCTGAGTTTTCCAATAGCCTTTCTGGCGGTTTTAGGAAATCGTGTCCTTTATAAAAAATAATGCTACCTAAATAAGTGTTTTAAACATCTGAAGATGCCAGTCCCTCACCCTATCCTCTGATGAAAATAAAAGCAATAAAAAATAATGAACTTTAATAAACTGGGTGGTTTTTTTTAAGCGTTGGGGTTCATGGAAGCTCCCAAACGCTTTTTTTCATTTAAAAAGAAAGATAACCAGCAAACAAACCAATCTCAGGAGGAGTCCACAGTGGAGGAGATTCGCCTTCCGTTTCTGCATAAAACCAATACATTTTACTTGGAGGGTAATTTGCCAGAGTTGAGCGAGACGAAGCCGTGTCTAAATAAGTACATGACACTAAATTTCCTTTTAAATCCACCTTTTACACCATGGCCAGTCGCTTGTTTAACTCCCGTTCAAGGGACACGGTTTTCAAACGTGACCTTTTGGGGAGATGTGGGAACTTCCCCTCATTTCTTCTTCTGTGCCGCTAACCTCTTTCCTCCTCCGCGCGGCATCTCCAGCCCCGGCAGTTTGTAAATTGCCCGTTTTGCCCACCCTCCTGGTGGGCGTTCTCTCCCCCACTCCACTCCTGCCCCCTCTGTCCTTTCTTCATTGGCGTCTTCGGAGCAGATGCATCTTCTTTCTTCTTGGCCTCACTCTCCCGTTCCCCCGTCAGTCCCCCCACCCGCGGCTCCCCACTTGCCCCAGCTCTCCTCGCCGCTCCTCCCCGCCTCCCCGCGGAGGGTTGACCCTTCAATTCGGAGTCCCGGCCTGTGGGCGGGCGGGGGAGCGCCGCGGCTGTAAGCCGAGGATCAGGCGGCGGCGCGGAGAGCGCGCCCGGGCGGCCAGCGCCGAGCGCGCGGAGCTGGCGTGGGGAGACACGGCAGGAAAGGCGAGTCGGAGTGGGTGATGAGAGGCCGGGAGAGCCCGTCCGAGCCGGAGAGACCGGAGAGAAGGGAGCGAGCGACTGTGCGGCGCTCACGCTGCCAGAGCCCGGGCGGAGTGCAGTCGCCTCCAAAGCCTTAGAGCGGCGCCCCAGTCACTGCAGCTCTTCACCCTAGAGCTGTGCCCTGGGACCACAGAGACCAAGAGCATGGAAATCGGCTGAGAGGTACAAAAGAAATAAGGAACAGATTACGAGAAAGCGGGGAGGGTTTCCTGGCGAAATACGGAGGCTGAGCAGATGGAGGAACAATGCCGCCTCCAGAAGAAAACCCTTGCCTGAACCCTCGGCGGAGCGCAGAGGAGCTGCTTTCAGCCTTCTGCTCTCCCCAGGCCCTCCGGCTAGTTCTGGGGTTGGTTCCGCCGGTTAGTTTGACAGGGATAAGAAAGTTGCTCTTCTTCCCCACAACGTTTCCTGAGAGGTGGTTTTCAGATCTGTGTGTTTCCAGTCAAGATGTCACTCCCTAGATCCCCCGCGTTGAGCAACTAATATATTATGCATTATTGGGCAATAAACTCTCCTGGGAAGAGAAGGTATTCCAAACATTTAAACCGTTCTCCACCGACTCCTGCCCGCCTCAACACAATGCCTTGTGAGTAGAAATGAAAAACCACCTGAATTTAAAATTATTTAGGTTGAGATTTTGCATTGGGAATAATTTCTTCCAGAGGAGGTTGTTAGTGTGTTATAGAGATGAGGGATATTACATGTCCAATATTTGATTCATTTGTGATAATTCTAAATCATGAACAGTTGGCCTCCACAAAGGTACTATTTCTTTTTGCATTTCCAGGGCCATAGTGATACATATAACACTTGGGAAACGTGAATTCGTATAGTTAACCCAGTATCTGTTACTCTGCATTTTTACAGGTAGTTAATATACTCATTTTCCCTCTTTTTATACTCAAACTCCGGTAGACTATTTTTGCTTAAGTCAATTGAGTTGTCATGCTGTACATGAAAATTACAGGGTCTTAATGCATTTCTCACCATTAATTGTGCTCAATTATTAATAGGATCATAGATATTAAAATGTCACTGAGAAAGGGTATGTGTACCTATGTTTGAGTGTAAAACCTATAAAATGTCTCAGCATTTCTATCAGCCATTGTAACCTAGCAGAACACAAGGTTTTTGAAATGAGCTCAGAAGCAAGGGCCATTCATATATTTAAAATATTAAATGTTAAATGCAAAAACATTAAATTTACTGTGCCTTTGGCAGAGAATGAATCTAAGTCTACTTGCACTGCAGAGTGATTGAGTGATTCACAGAGAAAGTGGAAGTTAATCATTACTCAGGCCTTCTGATTACATGGTTTGATTAAAAGAAGTAACTGTTTTCTGTAAGCCTGCTATTCTGCAGTTAGTCTTCCCAATCCTCTTAACATAAGCAGAAATTGAGGGAGTCAATCTTTCAGCAGATTCTACTAGAGTTCCAGTAGTGTGGAGTAAGAAAAGCTTCTTTAGTTCCCGTCCTTCCCATTGTCTCCCTTCTTCCACCCCCAAAGTACTTGCTGTCAATCTTTTCTTTATTCCCTCAGTATAGTTTTATTTTGTGAAATTTTCCACTTACATTTAGTAATAACATATTTTCAAATGTAAATGTTTGAATGGCTTTGAAGTTGAAGGTGAAATATACACTTAAAGAAGGTAGGCTGAGAACTCCATTGGTTTCATTTGCAGGGTGTTGGAAGGCCTGATGACCCTATGCATTCCTGGATGACTTTCTTGGATCACTCTCCAAAGTCTCTTCCAACTCTGAAATTCTTATATTTTATTCTGCTTTTACTATTTTCACATGGTTATCCAGTGCCAAGATCTACATATCCCTTCAAATTACATTAAACTAGCTGTTTCTGGTTTTCTTTATAGGATAATTAAGTAGCTAGAACTATAAAATACAGTTATAAATCTGAGATCTGAGTTTTTTATAAAATTTTTCACATACATTTTAATGCTATTGACAACTTTTTGTGAGACAATATTAATACAGATATAGCTTTGAGTGACGTATCTCTCTGGGTTTTCATGTATTGAAACAGTTTTTAACATAGTAATGGTTTATCTTGATAATTCTTTATTATTTTTACACAAAGGAGTTATTTCACAAATTACCTAACAAATACTAATTTGTAGTTTTTGTAAGCAAAACACAGTTAAAAGTAACAGTAGTATTAGAAACTGCAGCTGTGTAACATATACCTTTGCCACATTTTAAAGGCTTAGTTTTTGAAGTGAAGTTTGCAGTCGGTTTCCATCTTACTGGATTGTCAATAGGAAGATATGATTTTTCAGTTATGTTTTAATTATCTGTAAATGAAATCACCAAAGTCCAGTCTTCTAGACTTAATATTATTATTATTATTTCTGAAATATAGGTATGATCTTATTAACATTGGCCAGTGGCTCCTTATAGATTATTACATGCCAAAGTCCACAACCCTAATGCCACTCAATGCTTTTCACAATTCATTCTTAAACCTCCTTATGTAGATTAAAACACTGTCCTCCTGGCCCCCCTTCTGAATTCACTCTTTAGTCCATTCACAAGACTCTTAATTACTATTTTCCCCAACACTACATACCATTTTAGGATTTTGTGGTTTGCTTATGCTAATCTTTCTTCATTGATCCATTCCCTGCCCCTCTACCCCACCCCACCAAATATACACCAATGATAGGACAGAAAAACATTTTAGTTCCTTGGGTGGTCTTTCCTTCATCATGATGCTTCCTTCCTGTACCCTTACTCTGAGCTCCCACAACACAGTATTTATACTGGGAGTAGCCCACCTTTCACACTTCTAATGGTTGGCTTTCTCACTGCACAGTGAATTGCCAGAGATCAAAAGACATGCCTGATTTATCATGTCATTCGGAAATGATAGCTTACCTTTATGTCTGAACATAGAGTCTACCATAAATGAATAGTAAATGTATTATTTATAAATATATTTGGCTATGAAGTAACAGAAAACTTGGCTAACCGTGGATTAAGCAAATAAAGCTTTATTTATCTCACATAATAAAAAGTCAGGAGAAGAGAGTTGCTTAAGCATTTTATCAGGCTTCTTCTATTATCTCGAAACCTTTCTTCTCATGGGCACAAGGTCACTGATGTGCCTCCAAACTCGTGTCTGTCTTTGGGGCCCAAAATGGGGGAGAAGAAGATAACAGTATTCTACCTCAGGGTTTCTCAGCTTTGACACTGTTGTCATTGTGGGCTGGATAATTATTTGTCTTTGTTATGGGGGAGTGTACTGTACATTATAGGGATGTGTAGCATCATCCTTGGCCTCTATCCACCAGATGCTGGTAGTGCACCCCACCCCCACCTCATCATGACTATCCAAGTATCTCCAGACATTGCCAAATGTCTCTAAGAGGTCAGATTGTCCCAGGCTCAGAAGTTTTGCTCTGAGATCAGAAGGAAGGAAATTCTCTGTTTCCTACTCTTCCCTACCCCTGTTTTTTTTTGTTTTGTTTTGTTTTTTGTTTTTTTCCCTGCATTATGGTGGTGGCGAGGATCTTTTTGATTTTTTGCTTAATAAGTGGTAGAGGACACATGATAAGATTTAAAAAACAAATAAGAAGAAGGAAGAGGAGGGAAAGAGGCCAAACAAGGCTTCTCTGAGCATTGTGTCTTTTTTTATGGTGTGAACATTCTCCCCATAGACTTCCATTCTCGTATCACTGCCAGACTCTGTCAGCTGGCTACTTCTAGGTAACTGAGAGGTTGGAAGATAGATTTTTAGGGTGACATTTTACTACCCTCAACAAAATCAGAATCTACAAGAAAAGAAGGGGAAATGGATTTGGTTTTGAAAACTTAGTGTTTGCCGTGATGGCAGAGTGAATCAATACATAAAATTCGTCTAAATACTTCAGAAAGGAGAAAGAGTAAACACAAAATAAACATCCATCAAAGAGGGTCGATATAATTTTTCCACATGCTAAATGTTAATAAAGTAACCAGGATAATACTGTGATATTTTTCCTTTTGATGATATTTTACTTAGAAAATAAATGGGCAGAATGGAAACATATAGCGCTTCATAACATTTTTCTCTGCAGACGACATCCCTTCTCTTCCAGTCTATTGAATAAAGCAATAGACTTTGCTATTGATACTTACCAATTATTTAGTAATCATGTGAGAGATGTCAAAGGAAATAAAAATGCAGCTCTATTGTTTCAATATTTCTTTCTAATGCTTGTATTTAGAAAGATAACACATGCTAGTGAATGCAGTAGGTAAAATAATGGATTCTGGTACAGATGTGTTAGCATGGACTATAGTAACTTTAAGATGGGTTGCTTATCTACCTACCATCTACCTACCAATAAGTACTCTTGGATTCTATCATAGGAAATAATTCTGACTTACAAAGATATATTAACATTGCTATGGACGACCAATGATCTTGTCTGATTGATTGTAATCTTTTTTCTTCCTATTCTTGTTTATATTTTCTGTAAGTTCGTTGAATGCAAATTTTTGCTCAACTTTGTATAGAATATAGAAATATAAAAGATGGTGTCTGTTAGGAAGCTTTTGCCTGCAAGTAACAGAGTACCCAATTAAAGGCTTTAACAAAAAGTACATTCATTATCTCAGAACCAGATTCTGGAGGTGTGCTGAT